>NC_000015.10:93107944-93259459 GCF_000001405.40 Homo sapiens
TGTGGAGAGCAGTTTGGAGATTTCTCAAAGAACTGAGTTGAGCTGCCATTCAACCCAGCAATCCCATTATGGGGTATAGATCCACAGGTAAATAAATCGTTCTACCAAATGAACGCATGCACCTGTATGTTCACTGTAGTGCTCCTCACAATTGCAAAAGCATGGAATCAACATAGGTGCCCATCAATGGTGGATTAGATAAAGACAATGTGGTACATATACACCATGGAATACAGTAGTCATAAAAAGACAAAATCATGGGCCAGATGTGGTGGCTTGTGCCTGTAATCCCAGCACTTTGGGAGGCCGAGGTGGGCAGATCACCTGAGGTCAGGAGTTCAAGACCAGCCTGACCAACATGGTGAAACCCCGTCTCTACTAAAAATTCAAAATTAGCTGGGCGTGGTGGCAGGCGCCTGTAATCCCAGCTCCTCGGGAGGCTGAGGCAGGAGAATCGCTTGAACCAGGGAGGCAGAGGTTGCCGTGAGCTGAGATTGAGCCATTGCACTCTAGCCTGGGCGACAGAGTGAGACTCCGTCTCAAAAAACACCAAAAACCGAAAAACAAAATCATGTCCCTTGCAGCAACATGGATGCAGCTGGAGGCCATTATCCTAAGCAAACTAACACAGGAACAGAAAACCAAATACCACACGTTCTCAGTTATAAATGGGAGCTAAATATTGGGTACACAAGGACAGAAAGTTGGGACCAAAAGACACTGTAGACTACTAGATAGGGAAGGGACGGAGGGAGGCAAGGGTTGAAAAACTACCTATTGGGTACTATAGGAACCTGGGTGATGGGATCATTCATACCCCAAACCTCAGCATCACACAAAATATCTCTGTAACGAACCTGCACATGTAACTTCTGATTCTAAAATATAAGTTCAAAAAGAAAAAAAAATACCCCCGCAACTACCGGTTCACCCCCTCTTCCTCCCTCCTTCCTGGCTTCCTCCGATTATATTCATTTTAAAAATCAGTGGGTCTCCAGGGAAATTATTCAAGGGGCCAATGTATGCCGCCAAAGTTAAATAATCAGAGTCTAGACATTGGTTTTTTAATTTAGGGAACTCAAAAATAAAGCAAAAAGATAAATACAAGTAAAAAGAAGTTTCACTATGTTCCCTGGGGTTAAAAAAAATGCATGGTAGGGAGCTCTGGGAACCCTGAACTGAAAAACATACAGAATCAATTAAATGGATGCAGAGCGATGGCGGGTGATGGCTCCCCGTTGTCTCTTCCCTGTGTCATCATTCTCGCTAATTCTCAGGGCTGGAGACTCTAGAGGTATTATCAGGAGATAAGAGGCCAGTCTCATATTCCTGGGAGAAAAATCCCCGCCGATTTGCAGTAAGATCTTGGATTTGACCTATGACTTTTATGTCACAAAGGATCAGCGATTGCAATTCGGGTAATAGAAGAGGCCAAGTCAGCTTTCTCTTTTTCCTGCCTCCCGTCCTCCCTCCCCGCCTCCAAAGGACAACCTCAATTTGTTTGGAATTATATTTAAGCAGCAACCTGATGAAATACCTACCAGAGGCAAGGGTGGCATCCGCATTCCTTGTGTTATCTGGTCGGACGCCCCCGCAGGCCGTCTAACTTATTCAAAGGCGCGGCTGAGCGTTTGCAGCGCGGTCTGCAGTGAGATTCCAGGCCCCACGTGTCGCACATCGCGGTGGCCGCGCTTGTTTTCATGATGCTGGGGATGCGGGTGTTGTGCTCCTGGAGAGGGGAAGGGCTTGGGAAATGTAACTTACGAATCTTCTTAACGGTTGCCAACAAAACTCCGCAGCTGAGCTGCAAGCACTGGACAAGGGGCGCCCGGCAGCTCCCCCGCAGAGCGCACGGCGGACCCGGGGTTGGGGGTCGGGGGCCCAGCAGTGCCTTCACCCCGGAGGGCTCCAGTCACAGCCCAGAGGGGTCGACCCTCTGGCCTGTGAGTTGCTGCGAGGCTGTGGGCTGGGGAGAGGGATTCTCGAGTTCAAAGGCAAGGCTTGCAGCCACCTGTCGCTGGAGGAGGAACTGGTGGGGACGCCCGGGGAGGGGGTCGGGCTGGGCAGGAAGGGCAGGGACTCTTCCCGAAGGACAGCGGACGGGAGGTGGTTTCTGTAAAATAATACCGAGGGATCCGAGAGCCGACACTTCAGAGCCCCCAGACCCCCTGTCCCTGGGAAGACCAACTAGCAGGAAGTCACGGCCACTTCTAAAGGAGTCGACATTTTGCACGCTTTCACACTGGTTTTAGCACTTTTATGATCTGATTGAAAAGTAGTCGTAAAAAAAAGAAAACCTAAAATTAAAAATTTAGAAAATAGATTCGTGAAGTCATAACAATTTACATACATACAACTGAAAAAGCGCGCTTAGGTGTGCAAGGTGTTTCATGTGCTATGGAAAATGGTGTGCGTGTGGGAGCTGGAGGGTGGGGGGGATGGTCTCTAGACTCCCCGGTCCGTGGCCTACATGTGAGAACCAATAGACTAGAAGTTTAAACAATCAGACTTCTCCCTCTACCTTATGTGAGGGAAACTTCTGAGCTTCCAAATCCATACATTCAGCCCAGATGCAATCGCTGTGTTGAACGCTTGTGTCCAGATGCCTGTGGGCTACATGGATGTCTCACAGGTAAAAATCAACATTTCTAGACTTCTTTCTCTGAGTTAGAGCTGGGAAGTTACTTTGGATGCCTCCCTCTTCCTCAGCAATGCTTCTTCCTGTCTCCTTAGTCACCACATTTGGCAACTTCCTAAAGCATCTCTGGAACCCCACACCCCCACTCTCTGGCCCTTCCCTGTCATAGCCTGGCTCAGGCCTTCCGTGGCCATTGTCAGGGGCTCAAACCACCTTCACTTGACCCTTCTGACGCTCCCATGTGCCATACCATTCCCATGCATAACACCTCTCCCCTAAGAAGATACGCAGCACCAGCAGTCATAAGGGAAATGCAAATCAAAATCACAAGATACCACTACTTACCTAAAGGAATGGCTAAAATAAGAAATAGCAGCAACACCAAATTCTGGCAAGGATGTGGAGAAAACACATTACTCATACATTGCTGTTGGGAATGAGAAAAGGTACAGTCACTTTGGTGGGTGGTTCTTTTTTTTATTTTTGAGATGGAGTCTTACTCTGTCATCCAGGCTGGAGTGCAGTGGCACTATCTCGGCTCACTGCAACCTCTGCCTCCCAGGTTCAAGCGATTCTCGTACCTGAGCCTCCCGAGTAGCTGAGACTACAGGCACTTGCTACCACGCCCATCTAATGTTTGTATTTTTAGTAGAGACAGGGTTTCATCATGTTGGCCAGGCTGATCTCAAACTCCTGACCTCAAGTGATCCTCCTGCCTCGGCTTCCTAAAGTGCTGGGATTACAAGCGTGAGCCACTGTGCCCACCCCCAGGTACAGTCACTTTGCAAAACAGTTTGACAGTTTCTGTAAAAACTAAACAAGTAACTACCACACAACAATTGCATTCCTGAGCATTTACCCCCTGAGAAAGAAAAACTATGTTCACAGAAAAACCTGTACACAGATGTCTACAGCAGCTTTATTCATAATAGCCAAAATCTGTCCTTCACTGGCTCAGAGGTCCTTCGACAGGTGAATAGTTAAACAAACTGTGCTACATCTATACCCTGGAATGCTACTCAGCAACAGGGAGTGGAGTATTGGTACTTGCAACAGATTAGATGACTCTCCAAGAAAAAATGTCGAGTATGGCAAGCCAAACCCAAAAGGTGTATATAATCGTACGATTCCATTTATATAGCATTCTTGAAATGACAACATTTTGCAAATGGAGACCAGATTAGTAGTTGCCAGGGATTTGGCTTGAGGGTCAGGGTGCAGGGAAGTTTGTGTGATTATAACAGGAGAGAGCCGTGTGGGTTGGAATTGTTGAACAATAGTTGACTGTGATGATGGATACACGAACCTACAGAGGTGATAAAATTGTATAGAGTTGATACACGAACAGCAATGAGTACAAGTAAAACTGGGAATCTGAATAAGATGGGAATGGATTGTATCAGTATTAATACCCTGATTGTGAGATTGGACTATAGTTTTGCAAAAATGTTACCATTTGGGGAAACTGAGTAAAGTATACAAGATGTTTCTCTATTATTTCTAACAACTGTATGTGGATTTACGCTTATTTCAATTTTTGAAGTTTGTGAAAGATTTTTATAATTAGTTTTCTTTTTTTTTTATTGTGGTAAATATCCATAACATGAAATTTACCATCTTAATCTTTTTTTTTTTTTTGATAGAGTTTAACTCTTGTTGCCCAGGCTGGAGTGCGATGGCGCAATCTCGGCTCACTGCAACCTCCACCTCCTGGGTTCAAGTGATTCTCCTGCCTCAGCCTCCTGAGTAGCTGGGATTACAGGCACGTGCCACCACACCCGGCTAATTTTTTGTATTTTTAGTAGAGACGGGGTTTCACCATGTTGGCCAGATCGGTCTTAAACTCCTGACCTCAGGTGATCCTCCCACCTCGGCCTCCCAGAGTGCTGGGATTACAGGCGTGAGCTACCGCGCCCGGCCCATCTTAATCATTTTTAAGTATACATTTCCGTGAGGTTGAGTACGTTCACATCATTGTGCAACCATCACTACCGTGTATCTCCAGAACATTTTCGCCTTCTCCAACTGAAACTCTGCACGCATTAAACTCAAATTTCCCATTCTCCCCTGCTTCCATAATTTTGTTTTAAACTGCAAGAAAACTCCTAAACTCAAACTCCTCCTGGGCACCTCATCACCTACAGGGAAACTCTCTCAGTGCCCTTGGGTGCCCTGGCCCTGGCATTACCCACCTGCTGGTGTCCTGTGAACCCTGCCTTGCCTTGCCAAGCCTCTGGGGTCTGTGTTGTCTCCTAACACAGGCATCCAGCTTCTCTCAACCTGGAAAATTCCGTTTCAGGGCCCTTTCCAAGGCCTGGGAAGGGATTTCAGCACAGTGTTCACATGATCCTAAGTTTTGTAAATTTGCAAAAATAAGATATTTTCATTGCAATCAAGAGTCACCTGAAGCGTTTTATTTCCTTGTCCTCTTGTTGCCTCCACTAGCTGAGTAGTCCCAGCTACTCAGGAGGCTGAGGCAGGGGAATCGCTTGAACTCAGGAGGCACAGGTTGCAGTTAGCTGAGATCACGCCACTGCACTCCAGCATGGCGACAGAGCAAGGCTCTGTCTCAAAAAAAAAAAACAAGGGGAGGAAAACAAAGATGTAAAATGTTAAAGACTGACCACTGTAAATAATAAGACTACTGTGAACTTATAATCACAAATTCTACAGTTGGGATGCTGTTACTATTACATTCTGCTTGCTTACAGAAAAATATTTGAAGAATCACATAGTCAAAAGCAAAAATCCAGAAATGGTCAAGAGAACTACGATTATTGAGCCTCACTGAGTGTTCACACTGGTGAGTAATAAAATTACAAATTATTTTACCTCTGGTAAGTCACAGAATTTTAGAACTAAGAAGCATCTCAACTTGGAGTCTACTGTTTTACATAAAAGAAACCCAAGACCAGAGAAATCAATTAATTCACTGAAGGTCATACCCTATTAAGTCATATGCCCTAGCCACACTTTCCAACCAGGCCACAAATTCAGATGGACTCAAATCTTATTGAGTACCTATCATATGCGAGGCATTCTGCTAAACACCTTGCTAGGTGTCTGGGAACACATGCCAGGCATTTTCTAGGCACTTAAAGTTGCCTAATTCTCACAACAGGACTCTGAGATGTGTATCATTATTGATATGATTTGAATCTGTGTCCCCACTCAAATCACATGTCAAATTATAATCTCCAGTGCTGGAGGTGGGGCCTGGTGGGAGGTGATTGGATCATGGAGGGTGGTTTCTCATGAATGGTTTAGCACCATCCTCTCGGTACTGTCCTCACCATCGTCAGTTCTTGTGAGATCTGGTTGTTTAAAAGTATGTAGCACCAACTGGGCGTGGTGGCTCACACCTGTAATCCCAGCACTTTGGGAGGCCAAGGTGGGCAGATCACCTGAGGTCAGGAGTTCAAGACCGGTCTGGCCAACATGGTGAAACCCCGTCTCTACTAAAAATACAACAATTAGCCAGGCGCGCCACTGCACTCCAGCATGGGCAACACAGTAAGACTCCATCTCGAAAAAAAAAAAAAAAAAAAAAGGTGTGTAGCACCTCCCGCTTCTCGCTCCCGCCTGCTCTGGCCATGCGATGTATGTGCTCCCGCTTCACCTTCTGCCATGATTGTAGTGTCCTGAGGCTTCCTTAGAAGCTGAGGAAATGCCACCATGCTTCCTGTACAGCCTGCAGAACTGTGAGCCAATTAAACCTCTTTCCTTTATAAATTACGCAGTCTCAGGTATTTATAGCAGTAAGAGAAGGGACGAATACAGTTATTATCCCTGTTTAGAGAAGAAAACATTGAGTCACAGAGCGCAGAAGTAATTCTCCCAAGGTCACAAAGTTATAAGGTCAGGTTGCTGGAATTCAAGCCCAGGCAGCTGGGCTCCTAAGTATGTGTTCTTATGTGTTCTATGAGACTGTTTCTGGGGAAAGATAAAAGCACAAACAAAGGTCTTTGGGGCTTGGCTTTTGGCTTTTTAAAGGCTTAGGATGGGTGGTATTAGATGGGAGTCTTAGAGCGTGCCTGGGAACTATGCAGCTGAGAGGTGTGACTGGGGAGATTCCGAGTCTAGGACATGGTGGGTACCCGATAAAGGTTCAGTTCATTTGAGTTTGTGGCCTGGTTGCAAAGTGTAGCTAGAGTATGACCCTTAATAGGGTATGACCTTCAGACTGGGGCATGGGGAGATCCAGATTTTGTGGAGCTGGAAGCTAATAAAATTTGGCAGCCCTCCTTTAAAATACAAAATTATCATTGTAAAATTAGGTGCAAAAATGAATATTTACTTAGAATGAGGATGGACTCAATAAAATGCAAATTTTTAAAAGTTCAACTACCACAATCATTGCACTATCTAAAAATTTATATGATCTTTTTATTAACTGCCTGATTGACCTCCACAATGCTTTTATCCTTCCACGGTTTTTCCGTACGCTCTTTGATTGCCTCTTTTTATGACAAGGTAATATTTTCTACACCGAAAATAGATCGTTCAGTCCTTCCTCTGGCATGGCTGATAGAAATTTGAGTTTTATTCTTAACAGTTTAGAAATAATTTGTTTCACTTCCAATTAATTTCTGATTTGATCATGCACATATTTAGGACCATTGTCAAAATTGAGAAAACCTCTCAAGATTTATATATGAGCCGTGAAGTTTTAGGGTACTTCGGGTTTTCTGAATGACTAATCTTAATAGTCATTGAATTCTTTAAATCAGTGAAGCTCAATAGCAGTTCATTGTTGATTTCTTCATTATAGTGTGTACTATAAGTTTAAATTATCTTGTCGATGCCAGTATTTTGGGAGCAAATTCAACTTAATCTGAGTTTAAGACAAATCTTTTCCCAATGCGTTCAAAAGATTCATTCAGTTAATTGGATTATGTAAAAATCCAAGGGCTTAGTCATTGCTTCTGTTAGAAATGGAACACCTTTCTCTTAGTGAATTTCATCTTTGAACATATCTAAAATATTTTTTTACAATTTTTAATGTCAGAATGATTTCGACTGATTTCATTATTTTGAGCATATTTTGTTCATAGTCCATTAAGTTTACCTGACTTTACTCTCAGTTCTTTTATAAACAAATCTAAAGATAATTAAATAAGTTCGTTTTCACCAAATTAGGAGTCTGTAATTTCTCACTTCTTTTATTGAAATGTTCCCAAACATATTTCCGAATTCCAAAGCTTTATCAACTTTTCGAATAGTCCTTTTCCTCTCATTTATGTTCAGATTCCTCTTCCAAGACTTTGAAAATATCTTTTATTTGGTTTCTTTTACATAAAACAGTAGACTCCAAGTTGAGATGCTTCTTAGTTCTTTTTTTTGAGACGGAGTCTCGCTCTGTCGCCCAGGCTGGAGTGCAGTGGCGCGATCGCGGCTGACTGCAACCTCTGCCTCCCGGGTTCAAGCGATTCCCCTGCCTCAGCCTCCTGAGTAGCTGGGACTACAGGTGCACAGCACCATGCCTGGCTAATTTTTTTCTTCTATTTTAGTAGAGATGGGGTTTCACCATGTTGGCCAGGATGGTCTTGATCTCCTGACCTCACGATCTGCCCGCCTCAGCCTCCCAAAGTGCTGGGATTATAGGCGTGAGCCACCGCACCCAACCCCTCCCCTTATGTTTTTATAAATCTCTAGATTTTGGAGTTATGCACTCCAAATTGCTTAATTTTTTGTGTCTACTTGGCTAGGCTATGGTGCCCAGTTTGGTCAAACACTAGTCTGTCTAGATGTTGCTGTGAAAGTACTTGAAAAGGTGATTAACATTTATGCCAAGATGACTTTAAGTAGAGAGATTACCTTCCATAAGGTGGGTGAGCCTCTTCCAATCAATTGAAGACCCTAAGAGTGAAGACTGAGGTTTCCTGAAGAAGAAACATAAGTCATATTCGCTGGTTCCAAGATGTGGATGGTAGCTTTCCAGGAGGGAGGAGACAGCCCACCTCTGAGAGATGCTGCATCTCTCAGCAGAGTCACCCCGCAGCGCCACGGTGGGCTTAGCAGAGTGAGAACAGTAGAAACCATGAGCAAAACAGCAAGGTCTTGAGGGTCAGAGAGAATTTGAGTCCTGGTTCACGAGCTGTATCTGAGACTGTTTTCTTATTGTAGACAGGAAAATCAGACTTGCCTTGTTCAGATGGTTGAGCTGACATTTACAAAATGGAAGCTGTTTCTATGCTCATGATCAGGGGTGGGATTTGGGAGAGGGAGACTTTACACTATAAGGTGTTGCTTCAGCCCAACCCCTCTTTGCACGGATGAAACTTACTTTCATATGATTACAAAGAAACAGCAAAGATAACTAGCTGCTGGGATTAGCACAACTTCTTCAGCAGTCTAGGTACTTGTTTCCCACACCTGGTCTGGCATTAGAATTAGCTGGGGATCTCGTTAGAAATGCAGGTTCCGTTAGTCTCCAGAGCTACTGAACAGAATCTCCCAAGGTAGGATTTGGGAATATGTATTTTTTTTTAAATCTATGTAGCTCAAACAGACATTTATGCACTTATGTTCAAAACAGCATTATTGACAAAAGCCAAAATGTGGAAGCACTCCAAGTGTCCATCAACAGGTGCACGGATAAACACAATGTGGCGTATTCAGACAATAGAATATGACTCAGCCTTGAAAAAGGAGATTGGGACATAGGCTACAGCATAGATGAAGCTTGAGGACATTTTGCTAAGTGAAGTAAGCCAGAACACAAAAGGATTCTACTTATATGAGGCACCTAGAATAGTAGAATTCAGAGACAGAAAGTAGAATGGTGGTTGCCAGCGGCTGGGGAGAGTGGGGAATGGGGAGTTGGTGTTTAATGCATACAGAGTTTCAGTTTTAGATGATGGGAAACTTCTGGAGATGGACAGTGGTGATGGCTGCATAACAATCTGAATATATTTAATGTTACTGAGCTATACACGGAAAGATGGTCAAAATGGTAAATTTTGTGTTACACACATTTTACGACAACAACAACAAAAAAGGCTGCACAGGGCAGGTGTGGTGGCTCATGCCTGTAATCCTAGCACTTTGGGAGGCCGAGGCAGGTGGATCACTTGAGGTCAGGAGTTCAAGACCAGCTTGGCCAACATGGTGAAACCCCGTCTCTACTAAAAATACAAAAATTAGCTGGGCATAGTGGCACACACCTGTAATCCCAGCTACTCAGGAGGTTGAGGCAGGAGAATCGCTTGAACCTGGGAGGTGGAGTTTGCAGTGAGCCAAGATTACACCACTGCACTCTAGCCTGGACAGAGCAAGACTCTGTCTAAAAAAAAAAAAAAAATTCTGCACATGCTATTCTAATGAATCTGAGAATTTAGGATTGAAGCTCGTCTCTTCCTATTCTTTTGTCCCTAGCTTATACTGCACCCTTCCTTCCTGATGCTCACCATCCCAAGCATGCATTTAGACAGGGATGTAGCTGGCACTGCGGAGGACCCAGTGTTCCCTGGAGGAACATACGGTCGCAGCACTGGGAGGTAGAACAGTTCAGCTAGAAGAGCTGGTGAGCCCCCTCTCCTTCCTCTCAGTCCTCTCCACCAGCCAGGGTGATGACAGCCATGCTTAGGGAGGTGAGAGCCGGGCCCACTCAGGCGTCTGAGACCAAACTTCCCCATCAATAATGTGGCCCAGGCTTCTCACCAGCTCTGAGCTGCCACCCCCAACATCATACAGCCAGGACAACCAGCCTCAGTGCAGCTCATTCTCACCTCCTAGCAGGGGTAGGGGACACAAGGGTGGGCAGCTCTTCTCCTGGGAGATGAAGCCTGGCCACCGTGGGAGTTGGAAGGTCAAGAAGACAAAGGAGGCAGACTACCAGGGACCCGCTGCCCTCCCAGCCACTGTCTCCTGCTAGCTGGGGTTAGAGCCACATTTTCTTTCTCTCTTTTTTTTTTTTTTTTTTTTTTGAGACGGAGTCTCGCTCTGTGGCCCAGGCTGGAGTGCAGTGGCACAATCTCGGCTCACTGCAAGCTCCACCTCACGGGTTCACGCCGTTCTCCTGCCTCAGCCTCCCAAGTAGCGGGACTACAGGTGCCCGCCACCACACCCGGCTAATTGTTTTGTATTTTTAGTAGAGACAGGGTTTCACCGTGTTAGCCAGCATGGCCTCGATCTCCTGACCTCGTGATCCGCCCGCCTCGGCCTCCCAAAGTGCTGGGATTACAGGCGTGAGCCACCGCGCCCAGCCTAGAGCCACATTTTCTTGGGAGTTTCTCCTCCCAACCAGAAGTGTCGCCCTTGAATTAAGATAGTGGTTAAATACTGCTAAATAATTAATTGCTCTCTTGAATTGGTGTAATCTGCCTGCTTATGCTTTTCTGGTTGCTTTTGATAGTCCTTTGGATAAATTCAAAAGTGGTATTCATAATTGAAGAGCATATAGGTAGTCACACAACCACACTCACACTCATAATGAGAGGTGGCCCCTCCTTCACTCTTCAAGTCAAAATCGATACCAGGCAGTTAGAGTCTCCAACATCAAACTGTCTCTTTCCTGCTCTTCCTGGAACAGACACAAGGTGTCAAGTCTATGTATAGAGGTTTGGCGCGAACCAAGTGCAAGAGCTTTTCATTTTGTTCAATGATTATGACAGGTGCTGGGTCCCAACAGACTTTAAATAGAGCAATCATATGTTCTGTGACAAAGAACACTAAGGGAGAGAAAGTAGGAAATAGAAAGTGGAATGTGACTTTTTATTCAGCCGGGACTTCAGAAGAGGGGAACAGAGAAAGCCAATCAGTTGGTTCCAAGAGACAAAGCTGTGGGAGCAGAAAGCTCTGGACAAGTGGAACTCTTGTCAGGGAAGTCAGTGTCCCTGGTAAAATGAGAGGCAAAGCAGATGGGCCAGCAGTAGGGGAGCCTTTGTGAGTGGGTTGGGGGGCAGATGAAGGACATCCTGAAAGAAGATAGGTGAGTAATCATGGCCAGAATGCCTCCATTTACAAAATAGCTGTGAAGGACAGATGAGAAAATGAAAGATGGGATTTCTCTGAGAGGGGAGCAGAGATGGGAGCAGGCTGGGGTGGGGGGATTCATTTTTACTGAATATGCTTCTTTTTGTTTTGTTTTGTTTTATTTTATTTTTGAGATGGAGTCTTGCTCTGTCACCCAGGCTGGAGTGTAGTGGCGTGATCTTGGCTCACTGCAACCTTCGCCTCCCGGGTTCAAGTGATTCTCCTGCCTCAGCTTCCTGAGTAGCTGGGATTACAGGCACACGCTACCATGCCCGGCTAATTTTTGTATTTTTAGTAGAGACAGGGTTTCACCATGTTGGCCAGGCTGGTCTTGAACGCCTGACCTCAGGTGATCCGCCCGCCTCAGCCTCTGAAAATGCTGGGATTACAGGCGTGAGCCACCGCGCCTGGCCTGAATATGCTTCTGAATCTTAGAAGTTTGTGCTATTTGCTGTACAGGTTGAGTATCCCTTACTGGAAATGTTTGGGACCATAAATGTTTCAGATTTGGTAATATTTGCATTGTACACACAGGTTGAACATTCCTAATCTGAAAATCCAAAATCTCAAATGTTCCAAGGAGCATTTCCTTTGAATATCATGTTGACATTCAAAAAGTTTTGAATTTTGGAGCATTTTCAATTTCAGATTTTCGGATTAGGATGCTGAACCTGTATTAGTTATCTAGAAAAAAACAGAAAACAGATAAATTCATGAGTACACAAATTGGGGGTGATTAAACGGGCAAAAAAATCAGAAATCATAGATTGAGAGAGGATTTTTTTTCCTGGATTGTAAATAAAACATAGTTAAATTAGACTGTACATATAAAATTACAATATTTATAGGTTAAAAATAGCAGATTATTGGCAAGTTCACATGGTTTAATCCAGGGTTTCTCAACCTTGGCACAGTTGACGTTTTGATCATTCTTGGTTGGGTTGTGATATGTTCAACAGCATCCTTGACTTCTACCAGGTGGTGCCAGGAGCATCTCCCCAGTTGTGACAATTGTCAATGTTTTCTGTGTATCTAGCAGAACTGGCAGTACAATTTGTGGGGCCCAATGCCAAATAAAAATGTGGGGCCTCTTGTACAAATATGTATTAAGAGTTTTGGCTGGGCATGGTGGCTCACGCCTGTAGTCCCAGCACCTTGGGATGAATCGCTTGAGGTCAGGAGTTCGAGACCAACTTTGCCAACATGGTGAAACCTTGTTTCTACTAAAAATACAAAATTAGCCAGGCATGGTGGCACATACATGTAATCCCAGCTACTTGGAAGGCTGAGGCAGGAGAATCACTTGAACCCAGGAGGTGGAGGTTGCACTGAGCTGGAGGTTGCAGTGAGCTGAGATTGCACCACTGCACTCCAGCCTGGGCGACAGAGCAAGACTCCATCTCAACCACAACAAAAGAATTTTAAGACAGCAACAGCAGAGCATTAAATCAAGTGTGGGGCCGGGGTCCTTCTAAGCTTGGTACCCCATTTGACTGCTCAACCCCCACACCCACAAAGATGACCCCGATCTCCAGATAGTGCCAAATGTCCCCCGGGGGCTAGATTGTCCCCCATTGAGAGCCACTGGTTTAATTTAATACATTTAGGTTTACATGTACATATGCTCAGAGTCATTAAAAAAGAAAATTGCATGAATGCTTTACAAAATGCATAATATCAAGTGCCAGAAGGTTTGGGTGGCAGCCAAATCTGGCCCACCATCTGTTTTTGTGAATAAAGCTTTATTGGAACACAGCCATGCTCATTTGTTTACATATTGGTTGAGGCTGCTTTCGTGTTGCAACAGCAGAGTTGAGAAGTTGCAACTGAGACCGTATGGCCCGCAAGGCCTAAATATTTACTATTTGGCCCTTTATGGAAAAAGTTTGCCAATCCTGTTCTAGAGGACTGAGTTTTCAACCTGTGGCGGTGCTGGTGGTGGAACAGGTGGAATTAGCTAGAAGTCCCTGGAGCGTGGACTTCTCCAGCCCTTATTATCCTTACAAGCTAGAGCAGCTAGGGCACTTGTTGGGAGGTAATAGGAAATGGCTCCAGATTATTTAAGCAAAAGAATATTTATAGGAAGGATGTAGGGGTGTTTACAGAATCAATGGTTGGCTTAATTAATGCATTAAGTAGTGTGTGGAGTGCACACAGGGGAACACATTGCTCTCTTTTGTGTTCAGCTTGCTAGCTCAGTTGGTATCTAGAGGAGAAAACTATCAGGATGGAAGATATTTGAGTGTTACAAGAGTTGTAGGCTGGCAAAAGGTAGCGTCCAGGTTAGTTTTTATTTTATCTAGACAGATTCATTTCATTCGTAATATTCTTTTGAATTTCGGTTACTTTCTGTTTTTCATTTTTTAAAAAATACTACATTTCTTGGGGGAAGGGTTTGGTGGAAGCAGTTGAAAGGAAGGCAGTTTGATGGAAACTCAAGTGGTTTTTGATGAGTAATAATAATTATTATTATAGGTTTCCTACCTAAGCCGTCTCAGTGGGTAGTGTTTGCAAATTAAACACACTATAAAATATTCAGCCGTTTGCCACAATCTCGACTGATTTGCATAATCCCCTTGCACGCGCTCTGGGGTGAGCAATTCCCTAATTAATTATTAAATTCCCATCTGTACTCCGTGAGTGGGATAATGAAATTCCAGCAAGCCTTGAGAAAAGCCGAGCAACGCCCTCTGGAGAAGGCTCCTTGGCTTTCCCAGGCTTGGGTCCTTCTTCCAGCCAGGGGTCCCTTCCGAAATATCTCCCCGAAGGACTAATTGTAGATTTGGCTGGTGACTGAAACAGCTCCGACCTTCCTGTAACCCGGGATTCCACGGTTCTGGTCTCAGCCCCATACCACACACAGCCAGGCCACCAAGGAATCACCAGTGGCATGTCCAATATGGCTTTATAAGGACATTTCCAAACCCATCGTAGGTTTGGTTTAAGGACAGCCTCTGAGGTTCATTGCTATTCCCCTATTACCTCATTTTTGGGTGCATTTTTTTTTCCATATGGCCAAAGACCAGTTTTATTCTCTAGTCATTTGAAAGGAATTTGAAAGCCACTTTTCTTTCCTTTTTCCAATTTTTTTGATAAACCCACGACACCCTCCCTGCGGCTCTGGGAACTACAGGCCCAGAACAGTTGTAGGCAGGGCGGGTGGGTGTGGTGGGTGAAGAGGCAGAGTCGCCGTGGTGATATTGGTGTTGCTGGTGGCTGGGTAAGCGGGTAGCTGAGCATTCAAGTGCAACACAGGGCCCTGAAAAGCTGGTTTAGTCCAGGGTTTCTGGACTGAAACCTGAAAACTGAAAACTGACACTGAAGCCTGAAAAGCTGGCTTGTTCACCTGAGAAATGACATTTCTGAGACAGTTCACTGTGGGCCACTCAGGTGGCTCTTGTCTGGGGGGCGTTGTCTCTCGGTAGACTCTTTGTATTAAAAAAAATAGCTTTTGGCTGGTGTGGTGGCTCATGCCTGTAATCCCAATACTTTTGGAGGCCAAGGTGGGAGGATTGCTTGAGGCCAGGAGTTCAAGACTACCCTGGCCAACCCAGCAAGATCCCTGTCTTTGTTTTTTTATTTTAAAAACAAAACAAAACAGCTTTTACTAGTCCATGCTGTCTTTAGATACACCAAAGAGAAATGTTTGTAAAATTGCTGCTATTTGAGATTTCTTGGGGTCACGTGCTCCTCCAACTTTCCTATACAAACAAATCACCTAGCAATGTTGTTAACGTTGCATGTTCTGATTCTGTGGGTCTGGAGTGGGGCCTGAGATTCCGCATTTCTGGGAGACTCTCAGATGTTGCTATTGCTGCAGACCACACTGAGTATCAAGAAGCTGGGCGATAAGGGCATACTTGTAAACAGGGAAGAAATCAGATTTACATGCAAATGTGAAGATTCAACCTGATAAGTTCATGTGTACTTTTTAAGCTTTTTAGTGAAAGGCATGATTGGCTGGGATTAGAGCAAAGCCAGCATTAAAATTATGTTCTTATTAGGATCATTTTTCCTTTTTTTTTTTTTTGAGACAGGGTCTTGCTGTGTTGTCCAGGCTGGAGTGCGGTGGGGTGATCATGACTCACCGCAGCCTCAAACTCCTGGGCTCAAGTGATCCTCCAGTCTCAGCAGCCTAGTTGCTGGGATGACAAGCGTGGGCCACTATGCCTGGCTAATTTTTTTTTGTAGAGACGAGGTCTTGCTCTGTTGCCCAGGCTGGTCTTGAACTTCTGGCCTCAAGTGATCCTCCTGTCTTGGCCTCCCAAAATGCTGAGATTACAGGCACGAGCCACCGTGCCTAGCTGGATCTTTTTTTTTTTTTCATTTCAACTAGGCCTGTGTTAAAATTTAGAAGTGGATCTAGAATTGCCCCTGGGGTCTGAGTGTATTGTTGACCTGATGTAATTGTGAGGTGTTTTTGTTGTTGTTGTTGTTGTTTTTCTTTCTTTCTTTTACCAGCTGGATGTGACTTATAGGAAGTTTTCTAATCTCTTTGAAATTATTTATCCATCTGTAAAATGAGGATCATAACAGCTGGTATCACTGGGTGTGAACTCTGGAATTACACTGACTTGGGTTCAAATCCCAGCTTTGCTACTACTGTGTTTTTTTCCTTTTCTGAGCCTCAGTCTCATCTGTTAGTACAGAACCAAGCTAGGACCTGTCCTCTAGGATTGTTTCAAGGATTTGATGAGGAACAGTGCCTGGCACATGGCAGATGCTCAGTCAGGCTAGGAGCAGCAGCGCTCTAGCAGTCTGTGGAAAGCCTGCCTGTCGGCCGGTTTAAGACAGACATGCCCAAAGAGGGACAGGGAGGAGGGAGTGGGCTGAAGGTTTGGGAGGCAATCTGTTCTTCCATTTCCTATTGGTGAAGTGTTCATTCTTGTGCAATTACTGTGTGAGGTTCAGGGGATACCTAAAGAAGAATCTCAAAGGCATCCTGTAAGAAAGTGGTCGAAAGTCTGGTAGGAGCAAAGCAAATGCCAAATCAGACACAAACCAAAAAATCGTCATCCCCCCCGGAGGCTGACTGATCAGAATGGCCCCCTGGGTGACGAAAATCATGCAGTGATTCCACTGCAGGTTGTGAGGATAAAAGTGCAGAAGAGCAAGACGCTACATTGGAGCGGCCAGCCGCGCTGCTGAGGACCGCTCTTTCTGTCTGAATCCTCTGAAGCCCCAGGCCTCCCAGTGAGGCAGCAGCCAGGAAGCTGAGTGAGGTTAATGTGCTACTGGTTGATCTGATGTCCGAGGAGGTTGCAAACTGGTGGCCTGTATGTGCTCAGCTTGCAGATGCGTTTTATTCCCCAACCCCCAGACTGTTTCTTTAAACATGTGGATTACCTGCCATCATTAAAAATGTTGAAGATTTCATATCAGAGCCCAAATTCTAACTACAAACATAAAATGAGCAATTATGAGCCCGTGTTGCTGGTGGCAGCAATGTGTTGGTTCTGAATAAAGTCTGGGCCCGGATCTGGGCATACCTTCTCAGAGGGCTCATCCTCACCACCTGGCCTGCTTCAGGCATCACAGTCCCTGCCTGGCCTCTGTAGGCCTTTTAGTTTGTGACTGTTTTATTTCTTGTGCCTTCGGCCACAATTTGTCATTCAATTCTTCTGTTTGGGGGCAGAGGAGCTGCATTTATCAAAATATTATTGCTTCCCCCCATCTTTATCTCCTTAAAGCCTCGTTACCAGTAGCCACTGAACAATGAAAGGTGTATCAGACTCAGAATCAGAAGATCTGGGTGTTGTCTAGGTGTTGATGCTTACCAGCTTTGGAACCTTGGGCAAACAATCTTTCCAAGTCATAGCTTCTTTGTCAATTGGTGGCTCATAATCATAATGACTGAATGGGCAGTAAGGGAAAGGTGTCTGCGGACTCCCTAGGGTGTGGAGCTACAGGAGGGGAGGGTGGGGATGTGATGCCTCGAGACTATCGAGGAAGATGGAGTTGAAGTAGGCAATTAAGGCCAGGAGTGGTGGCTCACGCCTGTAATCCCAGCACCTCCCAAAAGGCCGAGGTGGGCAGATCACAAGATCAGGAGATCGAGACCATCCTGGCTAGCATGGTGAAACCCCGTCTCTACTAAAAATACAAAAAAAAAAAAAAATTAGCCGGGCATGGTGGCAGGCACCTGTAAGCCCAGCACTCTGGGAGGCTGAGGCGGGTGGATCACGAGGTCAGGAGATCCAGACCATCCTGGCTAGCATGGTGAAACTCCGTCTCTACTAAAAATACAAAAAAAAAAAAAAAAAATTAGCCTGGCGTGGTGGCGGGTGCCTGTAGTCCCAGCTACTCAGGAGGCTGAGGCAGGAGAATGGCGTGAACCTGGGAGGCGGAGCTTGCAGTGAGCCGAGATCGTGCCACTGCACTCCAGCCTGGGCGACAGAGCGAGACTCCGTCTCAGAAAAAAAAGAAAAGAAGTAGGCAATTATACAGTCGTAAGTGCTATCATGCAGAGATGCTGGGGTGGGGGTAGTGGCTTGGTTCAGCCTCCAGGTGGTGGGAGGTGGCTGGACAGGACTTTGTGGAGGAGTCAATGAGCTGAGTCTTGAAGGAAAACTTGGCTTTGTCAAGAGGACATGATAATAATGGAAGGCCTCTAGTCATTAAAATGCACAGGCTCCCAAGAGAGTCTGTTAGGAAGTCATTGGTAGAGTGTTCCCCTGGCTGTAGGGGAGAGAGGGCTCTTGGCAGCCTTCTAGAGACCCCTCCAGTGCCCTGGTGGAAGCTGAGCAGCTGAAGCTGGCTTGGGAAGTTCACAGTGCCAGACTGATGTTTCCCCACCAAGCGCGCCCTGTGGGTGGGGAGAAAGGAACATGAACATTTGGGTCCCTGCTGAGGAACATCTGGTGGTTGGTTAGTGTGACAGTCAAGACAGAGTTAAAAATAGGATTTTGGCCCCTTCTGTCTGGAGCCATCACTATGCATTGAAGACTGGAGAAAATAATGTAATCTGATTGTTCCGTTGGGTCATTTCTGGGAATATAAAGACATTTTTCCAAAACTGGAAGCCTGTGTGCATTGAGAGAGTAATTCAGGACTCCATTCTGTATCCTCCCTTGGCCTCCCCATGGTCTTCCCCTTCCCGGCCTCCTGCTCCACAGCGGATGCCTGTTCCCCTTGAAACTCGACTTCGTTAGAGATGACCCAGTTTTTTCCGCACTGAACTCTGCCAGGGTTGAAGATGCATTTGGCTGCTTGAGAAAACCCCAGCCTGCTGCCCCTCACTGCACTGCATTTGGCAAAGGTCTCCTGCAGAAGGAATGCTGAGAATTTCCCTTTCCATCATGTCAGATCATCTGGCTTGGTCCTGGCCCTTCCCCACGAGCCCAGTGGACACAGCTGGAGCAGGGCGGGGCCCAGGCACATTGCTGAGCTGGGAGCTGAAGCTTTCCCTTCTGCTTGAAGGCCACAGCGGAGCAGGGCTGACCCAGGCCAGCATTTCCCAGGTGGCATGGGGGAAGGCTCTGAGCCTGATACACAAGTGGAAGGAGACGGGCAAAGGCCTGCTCCTCTCGTGTAAGCTTTAATCCTGGGATTAAACCCATGAACTTCCCCAAAGCACCTCACTATTTGACGAGGAGATCTTCAAGAAAGAGTCACTTCTGCAGGGGTGGACCCAGGTTTTGGGTGACCTGAAGTTCCTAGGATTTTCTGAATCCTCCTTGAGAAGATAAAATTAAGTCCAGCGTCTTAGGAGGGGCCTTTGGAAAGGAGGGCCTCTGAGGCCCAAGCTAAGTTAGTGTCGTGGTGAATCTGCCATTCCCATCTCCGTTGTAAGAGGCAGAAAATCAGACTTAAGAGCTGGGAAGACATTTTGGAATGGGCTTTGGTTGTTCATTTAGGAACCTGCCTTTGCCGGGCCATCTGATGGCCAGGGGGTCACTGAGGACTGGGGCAGTGGGCCTGGGGCCCGTGGGGTCTGATGTGTGTAGAGGCACACATGGGAGCTGGTACTGCTGGGGGAAGTCCATGGGACCAGTTTAAAGTCAGCAGGCAAGATCAGGTCAGCTAAAATGACAAGTGGAGGATAGCGGGATGCCAGTCAGGGAGGCCACTGAGCTCCAAGAGCCAGATAGGATCTGATGTAGGAGGAAGCAGGTCGGAAATGAGCTTGGAGGTGGGTAATGTTATGCGGTGGCCTCGGGTAACATTTATGAGCCGCTCAATGTATGGCTATCTCAGGTTGGCTTCCAGGTAGAATGGGTAGAGTTTTATTTGCTAGATTTTGCACGATAGTTTGGGAGTTGAGCATTTTCACCTCACAGCCTCATAGATCTGGGTTTCAACACAGGCCCAGTTGCCTCTATTTGCTGGGTGGCTAGATCATACCAACCTCTAGGAGAAAGAGAAGTGACTGCCTTTGGAAGTGGACAGGTTCCAACCCTAAGTCTGTCATGTCCCAGCTTTGAGCCTCATATTTCTGTATCCATAAGACTCTTATCAGGCCGGGTGTGGTGGCTCATGCCTGTAATCCCAGAACTTTGGGAAGCTGAGGCGGGCAGATCACCTGAGGTCAGGAGTTCAAGGCCAGTCTGGCCAACCATGGCCAACATGGTGAAACCCCGTCTCTACTAAAAATACAAAAATTAGCTGGGCGTGGTGGCAGGCACCTGTAATCTCGCTACGCGGGAGGCTGAAGCAGGAGAATCGCTTGAAGCCAGGAGGTGGAGGTTGCAGTGAGCCAAGAACACGCCACTGCACTCCAGCCTGGACGATAGAGGGAGACTCTGTTTCAAAAAAGAAAAAAAAAAGACTCATGTCATACATGTTTTTGAAAAGGGGTGATGGTCAAAATAATTGACACAGGTAAAGTCTTATTGCTAAATTTTTAAATACAACTCTCGGGCTGGGCGCGGTGGCTCACGCCTATAATCCCAGCACTTTGGGAGGCCGATGTGGGCAGATCACGAGGTCAGGAGATCGAGACCATCCTGGCTAACACGGTGAAACCCCATCTCTACTAAAAAAATACCAAAAAAAAAGAAAATTAGCCAGGCGTGGTGGCACGCACCTATAGTCCCGGCTACTCGGGAGGCTGAGGTAGGAGAATGGCGTGAACCCGGGGGAAGCGGAGCTTACAGTGAGCCGAGATCACGCCACTGCACTCCAGCCTGGGTGACAGAGTGAGACTCTGTCTCAAAACAAACAAACAAAAACAAAAACTCTCTAGAAACCAGCAGATGCAAATCAGTAAGTATGTACCACTTACAAGCTTGGTCTAATAGACATGTAGAGAACCCAATCAGCAGAGTCGGTGCACACTTCTCAGGCCCCCATGGAACACTGACACACACCTGACCACATTCTAGGCCTCAAAGTCTCAAGTCTTAAGGGTGTGTATCATACAGACTCCAGGCCTTGCAACCATATTCATGGGCTAATCCTAGCAACGTTACTGAGCTTGCTTATTGATCTGCATGTGACAATACCCACGGTTCTGGCAAACTTAATGTCAAATGGAAACATTGAGCTGCAGAATATAAACATAAGTTGATATGAATTATTACATTTTAAAACACAGAATATTGTTTGTTTATAAATAAACACTTAGGTAGCAAAAAGCCTAAAGACACAGAAGGAAGGATCTACCTATTGGTGAGAGTTTCAGAGGTTACTTTACTTGTACCTGAAATGTTGTGTTTAAAGCATAAAAAGGCCTGGGCCAGGCGCAGTGGCTCATGCCTGTAATTCCAGTACTTTGGGAGGCCGAGGCAGACTGATCACCTGCGGTCAGGAGTTCAAGACCAGCCTGGCCAATATGGCGAAACCCCATCTCTACAAAAGTACAAAAATTAGCCGGGCATGATGGCGGGTGTCTGTAATCTCAGATACTTGGGAGGCTGAGATGGGGAGAATCGCTTGAACCCGGGAGGCACAGGTTGCACTCCAGCCAACATTGCACTCCAACCTGGGCGACAGAGCAAGACTCCATCTCAAAAAACAAACAGACATAAAAAGGTCTGAAATAAATGTGACAGTTTCACATATTTAATGTACTTTGTGTTTACCTAGAGCTTGTTCTATCCCTTACTTCGTATTTCATCAGAATTGAGATCATTAATATTAAGAGAAAAGGGCTCAGTGTTGGGCACATAATTGGTGTCCAGCAAATGTTTTGTCCTGACTAGGCTGTAGAAGCACATCCAATGAGCTGCAGTGGGAGAAAGTTCCTAGGGTAGGGCCTGGCTAGTGCAAGCGCCCAGGATGGATTTGCCTCTCCTTCTCCTGCCTTCAGGTTTTGGTCCAGCCTCGGACCTGGAGCCTTGTAGATTGCAGGGCCAGGCTGGCTTTCCGGATGCAACAGCAGCAGCACAGCCTGCTCTAACTGGTTAGGTCTCCCACAGCCCAAGAATCTGGGAGGCTCCGTGAGTTCTGGAAACATCAGAGAGGCAGCAGCAGGCTTCCGAGGCTGGGGAGACTGGGCATTAGCCCATGACTTACGCTCGTGTCCCCACCTCCAACAGGACAGCAAGACCCTCTACTGCATGTCGCTGCCAAGCCCTGCATGTCACCGTTGCCTGGCAGGTCAGGGAGAGATGGACATTCCCGGCTGCGCCATCCCTCCATTTTCTTGCTGTATTACTCATTAATACCCACCCCCACCCTGATCTCCCCTTAGGCCGTGGACTTTCTACCTTTTTAGGCTCATTAGCAAACCTATTATACAATAACTACATGACTGGGTTTCCATGGCGATTTGTGTGTTCTGTCTCATGGTGCTTTCCAAAGAGCCTATCTTAATCCTCATCAGCCCCACCACGGCTCGTCTCCGCCATATCTCATTACAGCGAAAGCTTCCTTAAGAAAACATTGGTTTTCATAAAACTCATTTCGCTGGGGCAAAAAAAGCAATCTCAAATCTCAATTTTTTTTAAAGACAAATTTGCATTTTGAAAACAAAGGCTTTTTGAGTTCAGATTCATTAAATTGCCTCTAACGCAGCATGTAATTGAGAGTAACTTGTTTTAATCATCAGTTTCGTTACCATCAGGAGATATTAAATACTTTTAGCATACATGCTGTTAAGCAGATTAAAGGCACTTAGGATTCATGTTCGTATGGCCACTTCGTGGATGCGTGCAGGCAAACCTTGAAGACTATGTTCAGAGACCTGTACAAAAATACATGAGTGATTTCATTCTCTTCAGCTGGGGAGTCTGCAGATGGTCAAGCACTGAGAAATATCAGGTTGGTGGGAACAAATCGTTTTGAGCCAGGCCCAGTGGGAGACGTGTAGTGTGGACAATCTCTTGATGAATATAGACTTGCACCGTCCTGTGCATTATTTACCCAGCTGCGCCTATTACTATTTCAATAATTTAACGCAATTTGTTACAGGGGTAACAACTGATTGCAATCAATAAGCAAGAAGCCTGGAATCCAATCTAAACTGTATGAGGGCCCCAGCAGGTCTTTCAGGCGCAGAACTTCCCTTTCTTCCTTAACCCTTTCTGCCCCTGGAACGTCTCAAGAGTGGTCTGAAGAAACTTCTGTTGAAAAAATCCTCAGTGTGATAGCATCCGGCCCCAGAATGCATTTGGCAGGGTCCCTTCCGGTTGCTATTCAAAGTGTGGTCCACAGATTGGCCACGCCAGCATTGGCATCAGCTTCGGTGTCACCATCAGTACCAGTATCATCTCGACTTTGCTTGAAATGTAAATTCTCATGCCCCACCCTGGACATGTGGAGGAGGGGCCCAGTGAGCTGTGTTCTTACAAGCCCTCCAAATGATTCTGATGCATACACATGTTTGAGAGCCGCTGGACAAGGGCAGGACCAAGTGTTAAGATAACAGTCTGGGTGCGGTGGCTCAAGCCTGTAATCCCAGCACTATGGAGGCTGAGACGTGTGGATCACCTGAGGTCAGGAGTTCAAGAGCAGCCTGGCCAACTTGGCGAAACCCTGTCTCTATTAAAAAATACAATAAATTAGCCGGGCATGGTGGTGGGCGCCTATAATCCAAGTGACTCGGGAGGCTGAGGCACGAGAATCGCTTGAACCCAGGAAGCAGAGGTTGCAGTGAACCGAGATGGCACCATTGCACTCCAGCCTGGGCAACAGAGAGAGACTCCGTCTCAATAAAATAAAATAAAATAAATAAAATAAATAAAATAAAATAAAATAAAAAAATAAAATAAAATAAAATAAAATGTACAAGCAGGGCTCAGTTTTAATATCCACCAAGCCTGCTTTATTGTGGGCCACAAGAGTTAGGAGTAGCCAGTCAGGAGTCTTCTTGATCCCATACCCAGCACCCCCCGCCCATGGCTTCCAGCATCTTCTCCCTCATGGCATGCTCCATCCTGCTGGCTCTGCTCCACGGCTCCTCCAAACATAGCTCCCACTTTCACACCCTGCAGGGACAGTTCTGTTTTTGCACATATTGCAACTGCCAGAATTGACAGAAGTGACATTTATTATAAAACATGTATTTTATTTTATCGCATTTCTCAAACAACC
This sequence comes from Homo sapiens, assembly GCF_000001405.40. Taxonomy (NCBI): domain Eukaryota; kingdom Metazoa; phylum Chordata; class Mammalia; order Primates; family Hominidae; genus Homo; species Homo sapiens. The sequence goes on from NC_000015.10 coordinate 93,132,033, forward strand.
AACTGTGACATTTCTTCCAGCCCCCAAACAAACCTAGGGATGGAATGAGTTTGGCAAGTGGCTTTCAAGAGCAACATTTTATGATTAGTCTCTGTCCTCTTGTGAAAGAGGAATGTTTCTTACTTCAATAATTGAATCAACAGTCAGTGTTTCATCTATCATCATTTAGAATTAGGCAATATCTATAAGCACCCTCAACACACACAAAAAGAGCGTTTCAGTGCACTTATATATGTTACTTTTTATATAAAATACACATTATATAGTTACATAAAAATATATTATTTTAAATATATATAAAATCAGCTTTAGAGAGAGATAATTCACATACCATACAATTTGCCCATTGAAAGTGTACAACTCCGTGATTTTTTTGTATCTCTCCAGAGTTGTGCGACTTTCACTACAATCAATTTTAAAATATCTTCCAGCCAGCCATGGTAGGTCACACCTGTCATCCCAGCACTTTGGGAGGTCAAGGCGGGAAGATCACTTGAGGCCAGGAGTTCGAGATCACCCTGGGCAACATGGCAAGACCCCCATCTCTATAAAAAGTAAAAAAATTAGCTGGGCATGGTGGCACATGCCTATAGTCCCAGCTATTCAGGAGGCTAAGGTGGGACAATTGCTTGAACCCAGAGGTCAAACTGCAGTGAGCCAAGATTGTGCCATTGCACTGCAGTCTGGGTAACAGAGCAAGACCTGTCTCAAAAATAAAATAAAATAGGCTGGGCGTGGTGGCTCTTACCTGTAATCCCAGCACTTTGGGAGGCCGAGGCGGGCGATCACCTGAGATTGGGAGTTCGAGACCAGCCTGACCAACATGGAGAAACCCTGTCTCTACTAAAAATACAAAATTAGCCAGGCGTGGTGGCGCATGCCTGTAATCCCAGCTACTCAGGAGGCTGAGGCAGGAGAATCGCTTGAACTGGGAGGCGAAGGTTGTGGTGAGCCGAGATTACACCATTGCACTCCAGCCTGAGCAGCAAGAGTGAAACTCCGTCTCAAAAATAAATAAATTAATACAAAATAAAATAAGATAAAATAAAACATTTTCACAGCCCCCAAAAGAAACCTAGGCCCTTTAGCCATTACCCTCCAATTTCCCTTTCCGCATAACCCTAGGCAAGCATGAGTTCACTTTCTGTTTCTATGGATTTGCATGTCTAGACATTTTATATATTTCATGCAAATGGAATCATGCAACATGTAACCCTTCATGACTGGCGTATATCACCTAGCATAATGTCCAAGGTTCATCTGTGTTGTAGCATTTACCAGCACTTCATTTTTCCTAAAGGCCAAATTTTAACACATGTGTACATCCGTGCTCCCTCCTCACCGCTATGATACTTCTCAAGTTGGATTTTAGTTCCCAACTATGCTGTATGTGTGAGCGTGTGTATATGTGAGTATTTTAATACTAGTGGTTATTTATAATTACTTTCGGCATCAGCATCCTCTCCTTTTCTTCCCTCCCTCTCTTCCTACCCCTTCTTCTCCCCTGGTGCCTACCCCCACCCTTCATGGTGGGAACTAGGTCTTGGGTTGAGTGACTGGTAAGCAGATTGAATCTTATGGCCAGGCTCTGAGCTACAAACTCAGGCCCTAGCAGATAGTTTTCTTAGACTCGGTGTCCTTGTAATCTCCATGGTGGCCTGGCCTACAACACAGATTGTAGCACATGTGACAGTGATGAGTGGCTCTCAATTGCCGCCACCACAGATACTTTTCTTTCCTCCTAGAAAGAGAAGAGTTTGCCCATCACCAGAACCACGGAGCCCTACAGCTTTCCTAGGCAGGGATTGAGAAGCAGATAGCACACTGAGAAGACGCACTTCACGAGACATCCACCACATGATGCTTACTTGTGGCCGGGTTCTCCAATGTTATGGAACAATTTCCTGCCAGGCGCAGTGGCTTACTTTTATAATGCCAGCAAGGGGAGAGGATTGCTTGAGCCCAGGAATTTGAGATTAGCCTGGACAATATAGGGAGATCTTGTCTCTATAAAAATTTAAAAGTTAGCCAAGCGTGATGGTACGCACGTGTAGTCCCAGCTACTTGGCGGGCTGAGGTGGGAGGATTGCTTGAGCCTGGGAGGTCAAGCCTGCAGTAAGCCATGATCACACCACTGCACTCCAGCCTGGGTGACAGAGTGAGACCCTGTCTCAAAAAAAAAAAAAAAAAAAGAAGAATGTCCCAATGTGGGGACCTTCTCAATAGTCCTGAGCATCCCTCACACCTAGCACTGCACAAGCATACAGGTGTGACCAGAGGAATGACTTGGGCTCACAGGTGAAGTGCTAAGGGTCTTGGTCACACCATTGAGTCCGACACTCATTTCATCATTTCACAGACAAAGACCTGGAGCCTTTCATAGGTTCCATGACTTGTCTTGTCTGAGGCCTCGAAGGAGTGTCACCAGGACTGGAGTTGGGCAGGGGGACAGGTTCTACTGATGGATGGTTTGTTCACCTCCTAATGCACAGAAAATCTGGACTTTATTGCAGAGGGCGATTCTTTCCCTTCAAAACTCTTTTTTATTTTTACCCTGAAACAAGCCTGTCTCATGGAAACTCTCTGGGGCCATCCCATTGTTCGTATTCCCTCCTGGGGTGTAAGATAGCCTCATATTTCCACTCTGCAATCTCTGAGCTTCTTTCTGGTTCCAGCTCAGACTCCCCCTTCTCACCCCCTGAGTTTCAGACTTGGATGTCCAACTGCTTCCAGGATGTTGCCACACAATGTCTGAAACTTAAAATGTCCAGCACAAAACTTAAACAGGCTCCATGATTTGTCTGAGGCTTCAAAGGAGGAAACTCTAATCATCTCCTCCCCCAAAACACTTCCTCTCTATACTCAGCCTTTTCCATCTTCTAAATGATCGCTGTTCCACTAGGTCCTCAAGTGAAAAACCAAAGGGGCATCTTGCATGCTTTTCTTCCTCACATCCCCCACATTGTATGCACTGGTGACTCCAGGCACACCTGACATCCATTCCTCAACACTCTCTCTTAGTGCTGGGTCTACCCACTGCATTAACCCTTGATTGATCTGCTGCATCTCCTGTCACTCTCCAACAATCCATTTTTAACTGCCAGATGGCCCATTCAAAATGCAAACCAGAGAACTCAATTTCTTTTATTTTTTATTTTTTATTTTTATTTTTATTTGAGACGGAGTGTCGTTCTGTCGCCCAGGCTGGAGTGCAGTGGCATGATCTCGGCTCACTGCAACCTCCGCCTCCTGGGTTCAAGCAATTCTCCTGCCTCAGCCTCCTGAGTAGCTGGGATTACAGGTGCGTGCCACCACGCCTGGCTAATTTTTGCATTTTTAGTAGAGATAGGGTTTCACCGTGTTGGTCAGGCTGGTCTCGAACTCCTGACATTATGATCCACCCACCTTGGCCTCCCAAAGTGGTGGGATTACAGGGGTGAGCCACTGCACCTGGCCAATAACTCAGTTTCTAGCCAAAAGCCCTCGATGACTTCTGCTTGCCCCTAGCGTGAAAACCAGGCTCCTCTTGGCTTCAACACACTTCACAGACTTTCTCGCACTGTGTAGATAAGCACTCTTTGGGCAGGGACTATTCTGTCTTGTCTGCCACTGAACCTGCAGTGCCTGGCACACAGTAGGAGTTGGCACAAAGCAGGAAGGACTGGTTGTTGGAGTGTCTGGCTCTATTCCTGCCTTGGTCTCCCTGCAGCTTTGTCTGACCACCTGACTCTGGACCTGCTGCTGGCCATGGGATTCCAGGGCTGTGAGTTGAGGCTGATAGCTGTGCAGTGATGTTTGTGATGAATGCACTCATTTGAAAATATAAATACCATAACACAAGGTATGCGTGTTATGATACCTCAGGATAAAATGTCACATGGTAGTTTGGAATTTATTGAGAAGGATTCATTCTTCCCCTTACTCCCTGTCTCATTTTCAGCTGGAAGCTGAGTTGTCTTCTGAGCTGGGGCCTCTGGGGCTGGAGGGCCACCTCCTGCTGGTTTTACCAGAGGTCAAGCTGAGGATCTTGAACCCAGTGTCCTGTAGATTACTTCCAGGTGAGATGACCCTCAGGGAATGAAAAAGGCCTTCACAGTGAGGAGCCACTAACATTTCTGCATCTGAGAAGAAGATCAAGCATTAAACCATAAAATGCTCCTGGCTAATGAAATAGAAAGTAAAAGGCCACTCTTCTCAAAAGCAGTATGGTGTCTTTGAAGGTTAAATGGCCTGTGATAGCAGCAGTCCTTACACTCATAAATACCAAGCGGGACTCCTAGGCGACTAGTGAAAATGCATGGGGCCAGAGGGAGTTTTCTGGGGGCACTCTTAGTTGCCGTGGGTAGGGAGGGAGCTTGCACCATCTTCTCTTCCCCCTTAAAGGGTGAGTTCCCTGCTGCAAACTTTTGAGGCATCTTCCTTTAGCCCAGAAATCTGAACTGCCACATGGGTTCTTGTCCACAGGGGTCTATGACCCAAGACCAGCTGCATTCTGAGGTCAATTTGGGGGTCATCCCAGGAATAAGGGAAACGTTATTGATGGGGCAGAAACTCTCCTGATCTTTAGTCTGCAGGGATTTTCTGAATGCTGATTAGATGCTGGGGATTCAGCTGGGGGGAAATCATGGCGTGCACGTTTTTAAGTGAACCAGAGCTGAGAAACTGTCAGGCATATGCTGAGTGCAATGTTAGAGGAATGGTCAAGTTACAGGGGACGTAGAATACAATGATGCAACGGTCAACACTGAGGGAAGGGAAAGGTGTCAGGGAGGGTGGCCCTTCTGGGGAGCAGACAGCCTGAAGGAGCGCCAGGAGGCAGCAGAAATGTCTTGGTAACTGCAGGCAGCAGCACAGGATTCGGAAGCAGAGTTTACCCTAGAAAGTCATCTCTGGGCAGCTCAGGGTTGGATTTGTGTTTTAGAGAAGGTCACGCTGGCTCTAGTGACAAAGTGAATTGGAGGGAAATGGGAGATCAGCTAGTAGGCTGTCATTCCAGCCCTGCCAAAGCTGCTGCACTGATGAAGGTGAAAGGCAGGCAAGGAGAAGCCAAGCAAGTAGTGTCAACAGGCCTTGGGGGCAGTCGGCTCTAGGAAGAGATGGGAATAATTTTCATGAATGAGGCATGAGCACATGGGTGGTTCAATAGACTGAGAGAGGGCTGGGTGCGGTGGCTCACGCCTGTAATCCCGGCACTTTGGGAGGCTGAGTTGGGCAGATCACCTGAGGTCAGGAGTTCAAGACCAGCCTGGCCAACATGGTGAAACCCCGTCTCTACTAAAAATACAAAAAGTTAGCCGGGTGTGGTGGCAGGCGCCTGTAATCCCAGCTACTTGGGAGGCTGAGGCAGGAGAATCTCTTGAACCCGGGAGGCGGAGCTTGCAGTGAGCCGAGATTGCGCCATTACACTCCAGCCTGGGCAACAAGAGTGAAACTCTGTCTCAAAAAAAAAAAAAAAAAAAAGTTGGATGATCAGATTTTCCAGGAAGATACTGAGTTCAGTTGGGGACACATTTAGATTGAGGTGTCTGCAGGCCGCCTGAGAATGTCCTAAAGGAAGGGAGCTCCCAGCTCCAGGTTGGGTCTCAAAGACGTTGTCACATCAGACATATATCCACACCTGGGAAATAGCATTAGGGTAGAAATGAATTCCAAAGTGAATGAGATTGCCTATGGAGATTACGGACAAATGGACACCAGGCCTAATCTAGTCAACAGAGTTTGCATGTAGAATTTCTCCCATCCAGTGCCCTGCTGACATTGAGAGCTAAATCCTTTGAAACCAGGTGAGAAACTCTGTTTCACTTTGAGAGCCAACCCTTGGATTTGTGTGAAGATCTTGAGCATCTTGTAAGCAGGGCCACCGTTTTTTTTTGGCAGAGGGAAGGAAATTCAAACTCTGTCTTTGATATTAGAGTTGGTATTTGTGAGGTGAATGGATACCTAAGCTAGGAGATCATGGTGACTACATGCTGGGCTATTGGGACCCAGATTATTTGAAAGAAAGAAATATATTAGGAGGGAAAAGTGTATTTATGTGAAAATCTGCTCCATGCACCAAATAGTCAAGCTCTTTCCTTCCCATGGCTGGAACTGTACTTGTTCTGTCTGGAGCAGGACAAGTTGTCAAATACACAGAAAGAGGCATTGATGAACTATCAATATCCTAAACCAAGGAGCCAGCAGCTTGTCAACAATCAATCACTTTTCTTACCAGTTTAAATGCCCCCATCAGCTCAGACTCTGATGCTTTTACTCTGTAGTGATAGGTGTAGCTTACAGGCAGGCCCGTGCGTTAGGCACTGAAAAGAAACATGTTGAAAGGAGACTGGTATTTGCTATTGAATGGATTGTTTCAGTTTTCTTTAAGTCATCAAAGGCAAATTATACTGAAGTAACAGCTAGAAGAGGTGGCATTGTTGATTGCAAGAGAAGCCTGGAGAGAGGAAGGCCTCATCTACCTGTGACAATAGCCCATGGAGAATTAAAGGGCAGAGGAGATGCTGGATGTTGCAACAGGCCTAGGTCCAGGTGGCTTCGTGTTGCATTGTAATTCTGGGTGATTCCCCCATTCACAACAGGGCCCTAGTGTCTTGAAGAGAGTGGACCGCAGGAAGCATGTGGGGCCTGTAGGACCTAGCTAAGTTATTGGCGTGCAGTGTAGGACACTGGTTTTAGAGGGGATCTGGGACAGCAGGAAGGATGCTGGGGACATCAAGCTGCCTGGGTAAGAATGGGCAGTTGTCCAACATATATTCTAAGGGGCAAAGCAGGGTCAGGGACAGTTCAGCTGCTAGAGGATTATATTTGACCCCACCTCAAACTGGTTCAAGCAAAGTAATGTTGTCTCATATTACTGAGAGGCGCAGGGGTGGGCCAGCATCAGCCATGATTGGATACGGATGCTCAAATGCACCAGAACATATCTCTATCTCTTTCCTCTCTCCTCTGTGTGGCCCTATGTTTGGACAGGCTTTCCCCACACAGTGGTCCAGTGGCTACCAGCAGTGGAGGCTTGTTTTATGTAGCTTAGTAACATTAATTGAAAGAAAGTTCTGGCAAAGATCCCAGGATTGAATCTCATTTGTGTGGGTTGGACCATTTGTCCATCAGTGATCCAATCATGGTGTCCACAGGGATGAATGCTGTGGTGGGTCTGGTTCCAGATGGGTGTCTACCTACTGAGATGGGGAGAGATGGAGTCAGCCCCAACCAAATGACAAGGAATGGGAATGAGACCGAGAGGGGGTGTTCTCTCAAGGAATGTCAGGGTTTTGAATGAGTCAAAGCTGTAAAAGTAAAATAAGGAGAATCTTGCAATAAGGTGGGGAAGGGCTTGGCAGCAGGTGGCTTCGAACTGCCTTGTAATTCTGGGAGATCTCTGTGTCCACAATAGAATCCTTGTGTCATGAAGAGAGAGAGGTCTGCTAGAAGCACGTGGGGCCTCAGGGACTCAGTGAAGTTACTGGAGTTCAGTGTAGGACACTAGTTTTATAGGGGGTCTGGGACAGCAGGAAGGGTACTTGCACATTTGCAGAGGATGGCGGGGTGGGGGTGTCAAGGCCCAAGCCCAGTGCCAGAGCTGAGGGCAGTGGATTGTAGACCATGTGCCACAGAGCCATGACGCCTGGCGGAGATGTCTCAGGGTCGGGTGGCCATGGAGCCGGGGGATCTGGGCGACTCCACTCAGCTTCAGCCACAGCCACATCTTGTATCTATTTTGCACAATAGGTTTCCATTTGACGAAAGGACTTAGTTGTCCTAAAAGCCTCAAAAAAAATCCACTGGACAAGGGTGGTGGAACTCCACATCTCTTAAGCCAGACCTGGGCCTGCCCAAGTAGGCAGCATGATTCACTTCCAAAGGTGAATGATGGCACCTATTACTGTTGTCATAATGAGCTCAGGCCAGCATAGGTGACCTTCTGAGAAAGAGGAGGGTCAGGAGACAGGCAGGGCCGGCAGGGATGTCAGGAACATTCCTAGAGGCGGGGAGGACTGATGAGTGGGCTGCATGCATGGGTTGGCATCCCCTGTGCTACAGGGACAAATATTGGCAAGCAGACTCCCATAGGTGACCTCTGCCAGTTGCAGGGAATCTGAAAAAACTGTGAATTCATGCCAAAAAGATGGGGGAGGTTGGGAATTGCCTCCCCCCCATCCTCGTCGCACAGAGGACACTTGTCCAATTGCTGGTTGACTGTTATCATTGTCGTCTTGCTATCTTTTCTTTATTTGTACTTATTCTAAAAAGATTGGAAGTGTCTATGAGAAAAGATCCATCCATTTATACGTCTATGCATCAACCCCGCTACCCTTCCACTTAAGATGTATCTACCACGAGGCACTGTGCTAGGTCTTGGGCCTGTAAAGATGACGCAGTCCTGGCCCCAAAGTCCAGGCCCTTCACAACTCAGATGGGGAGATTGATGTGTTAACAAACAGTTGCCATGTAGTGAGATAAAGATAACGATAGAGAAGTAAAGGTCGTCCTGTGAGTCCCCAGGAGAACTTCTCTTACAACTTGAGCATTTGCAAAGAATTGGGGCTCAAAGGAATGGGCGAAGGGAAGGGCCTCCTAGACTTTAGGGAACAGCAGAGCAAAGTTACTGAGACACGAGGTACACTCTAATAAGAGAGGGTGATTTCCTTGTGTCTGGGACCTAAAGAGCTGTGAAGGGAAGAGACTGAGGCCAGTGAATGAATTGCTTGCAAGGTTGACCTTTATTTCTTGGTGGGGAGCTGCTGAAGGTTTTGAAGCCAAGAAGTGGAATTGGAATCTGCCCCAGGCTTACTTTTATGCCTACGTTGATGTAAGTTCTGGCATTCTTGAGCTTGCCGTTGATCAATGATTGTGTGTTTGTGGAAATCATCCTCTTATCTAATCAGGATGATAACGCCCACATTGTGAACATGACATGTCATTGAGATTTGGAGCTAATGCAAAAATAGTCACTTTAAGTGTAGGAGGTATTTGTATGTCATTTGGAGTAAAAATCTCTTATGTGTTTCACACATCGAATTGTTAATCAACTGAAGCATAAATGTGTATTTATTTGTTGTGAGACAAATTGTTGCAACAGTTAATGATTGTGGATGCCACTCTTCTTATGTACAAAACTGTCATTAAGAATGTTCAAATAGTTAAATAAGTAGGAAAACAGATCAACAGTCAATTCAAATATTTAGATCGTCTAGAGTAACTTTACAAAGAACGTATTATTTTTGCAACTACGAACATTTGTAAAAGTTTAAATAATAAAAGGCAAAATAGTAGAAAATAATTTATATCATAATTCTAATTTTCCTGGAAGTGTTTTGTATATTGGCGTATTATTAGTCAACAATTGCTACAACAATGCTGTAAAGTGAACCATACCAGCGTCTTAGTGGTTTACAACAACCCTCACTTCCTGTTTTTGTTCACAGGTCTGCAAGACAGCTTTGATTCAGCTGATTTCAGCCAGGCTCACCCCGACTTTGCAGGGCGCTGCGAACCCCAGCCTTCAGGTCGGGTTCAGGTATGCTCTATATGTCTCCATCGTTCTGGGACCAGTGGGTATGCAGCGCAAGTTCTTTTCATGGCAAGTGGCAGACGCCTCTAGGCCAAGCCAAATCACTCCAGTACATTTAAATTTCTGATCATGTTATGTCTGCTAACAGGCAATTGGCTAATGTAGCTCACATGGTCCAGCTCAGTCAACTGGGGTGAGGAAGAGGGCAATCTAGAGAGGGGGTCTGCAGAGTCATAAGGCAAAGGGAGGGGATGGGAAGAAGGCACTGTAACCCAGCCTACCACAGCCACAGAGGAGGAGTTACATCTTTTCTGCGGACAGTTACTATTAAAGACAGAAGGAGACTAAATCACTCCATGTCAGTTTCACCATTGGCAGCACCCCATCCTGGTAAAATTAGACAAAAACGAACCTGCCTTCCTACTAGCTTTAGTGTGTGTATATTAATAATTCTTTACCTATAATGTATAAGGTCAGACTTTTACAATTTAGTTACTAATTTTTTTTTTTTTTTTGAGACGGAGTCTCGCTCTGTCGCCCAGGCTGGAGTGCAGTGGCACGATCTCGGCTCACTGCAAGCTCCGCCTCCCGGGTTCATGTCATTCTCCTGCCTCAGCCTCCCAAGTAGCTGGGACCACAGGCTCCCGCCACCACTCCCGGCTAATTTTTTTGTATTTTTAGTAGAGATGGGGTTTCACCGTGTTAGCCAGGATGGTCTTGATCTCCTGACCTCGTGATCCACCCACCTTGGCCTCCCAAAGTGCTGGGATTACAGGCGTGAGCCACCGCGCCTGGCCTATTACATTTTTAATAATGAAAAAGTAATTATAATTAATTTTTAGTGGCTTTGAGATTTATTTTTGGATCCCAGAAGTTCCTTCTCCATGGCAGTATTTGGTTTGGATCTTTTTTGCAGTTTAATATTGATTTTTTTTTTTAACTCTTGGCCATTCAGCATATGGCTCAATGAATTTTGGTGCACCTCTTGTATTTATCTCTCTACATTAGACATATTTGGATCATATCCATATATTATATCCATTTGTCCTGCAATTTGTCTTTTCATGTAATGAGTTCTTTCCAACCAGCATATATAGACCTACTTCATTATAGTTAATGTCTACACATTGTTCCGTTGATTTAAGATTCCTCCACAGTGGAACTTACTAACACATCCCTCATGGATGCATGTCTAGGTTCCCAATCGTGCCTATCCCAGCGCTGCAGTTACGGCCAGTCTCACTGTCACTCACCAGAGTCGGGTGTCTGCCTATATATCCTGCAATGGAGCCAATAGCCTCCTGAGGCCTGCGTGGGATGTCCCTTCTGCTCCCATCCTCCTCATGCCACTTGTTCTTTCAGGAACATTTCATGCTACTGATCTCTTCCTCCTTTGGCTTTTTCGTGCTCCCTCTCTCCAGTTGTTCTGCTCAATGCCCTGTGGCACGCCTTGCCTTCTTTTAAAGGTGTGCTCAGGGATTCGCCTCATTTTTCACTGCTCATTCCTGTCTGGGCTTTCCCTGGAAGATCCCCTGCCACCCATCCCCTGCTGCCTCCAGGATTGTCTCCCAGCCCGGGCCTCTGGCATAGAAGCCATCTACCTCCTGGTTGCATCACCTGGAGGAAACGCAGGCCCCTCACTCAGCTCTCGCTCCAGATGCCATCCTCCTCTGTGCTTGCTGCCTTGGTCATTGGTGCCATCATAGCTGTCCCCACTCCCACATTCGAGTGACGCTTTTAGGTGTGTTCATTCCACCTCTGAGCCTCTCACACTCGCCCCCTCCTCTAATCTCTACAGTGCCCTACTCAGCGTTTGCTAGTGGTGGCCCCGTCCACCTTGTGTGCGTAGTACATCCCAGCCATCCCTTGGCAGCCAGGACCATCGGCACACTAGCAAGTCCACGGGGTCAGGTGTGCGTCTCTGGGCCTACCTCTGATCCTTCCATCCTGCCCGCACCTCTGAAACTCTCTCCATTTGAACCACCTGTATTGGATTGTTTCCTGCTGGGGTGTTGATGGGTGGGATTTGTTCGTTCACGACTTTTCAGCCCCATCTGTCTTCTGTCTGCTCGTCCCAGGCACCTGGGGAATCACTCCTACCTAATGGAGAGGGAAGGGAGTCCATGATTATGAATGATGTGACAAAACATGAAAGGAGAAAGGGATTGCTTCTCCCTCTGATCCCAAGGAAGGCTGCCTGGAGGAGGAAGCACTGGGGCTGTACGGGGAGCAGAGTTTGATGAGTGAAGAAGGGGTGGAGTAGGATAAAAACCACAGCAAAGAGCTCTCAAAGCGCGTCTGTCTTTCCCCAGGCCATAGTCCATGATGTCACCACCATGTGGTCACTGGGCTAGAAGCCTTGGCACCATCATTGACTCTTGCTTTTCCCTCCCCGCCATGCCTGGCCTGTCACTGAGGCCAGTGGTGTCTCCTTCTCATGTGCTCCTTGCCTCCCTGTCCCCTCTTGTCTATCTCTTCTGCCACATCTGCACAGTAGCCAGGGTGTCCTGTTTGGCCAGAAGAAATGCAAATAGATGGCCGGGCGTGGTGGCTCACACCTGTAATCTCAGCACTTTGGGAGGCCAAGGCAGGCGGATCACGAGGTCAAAAGGTAAGAGACCACCCTGGCTAACACAGTGAAACCCCGTCTCTATTAAATATACAAAAACAAAATTAGCCAGGCGTGGTGGTGGGCACCTGTAGTCCCAGCTACTCGGGAGGCTGAGGCAGGAGAATGGTGTGAACCCGGGAGGTGGAGCTTGCAGCTAGCCAAGATCGCGCCACTGCACACCAGCCTGGGCGACAGAGCAAGACTCCTTCTCAAAAAAAAAAAAAAAAAAAAGAAATGCAAATAGATGAGCCTGTTTTTGGACGTCTACTAGATACTTGGCACTATGCTAGACGCTGAAATAGATTACCTTTAACTTTCATCACGTTTCTGGGAGGTAAGGCAGTGTTATTCCCACTTGGAGATGAAGAAGCCGGTGTTGTTCCCTCTATGTTGAAGGCTCCTCAGGATTTTGAAGAGGGAAGGATGAGGAGCCATGGTCATGTGTGCTTCTTCCCATCTCTGGAACTGGTCTTGGGCAAGTTCCTAGGGTTGATGGATTGCAGCAAGTCCTGAAACTCAGCTGCTTAGAGACAGAGCTTGTGTGCTGAATTTAATGAGCAAGCTCTCTCCAGCCAGCTGGAGACGAAACCTTTCAGGAGATCTGGAAGGTCCGTGAAGGGAGGTTTTATTTCCCTGGGCAACTCTAGGTGCATTTTTACTCAGTGGGCCCCAGAGGAGAGACTCGAGCAAAATATTTTTTTTTTGTCCCAACTGCTTGTGAAATGGAGAATATTTTTAGCAGATTTGAAAGCTTTGGAGACAGATCCCATTACTCAGTGCCCTGCTCAGAGCAAGCACTCAATAAACCTTTGTTGAACGTGGCTGAATGTTCCTCATTGGTACAAAGATCCTCCAGTGAATGTGTGCATTAGAGGAGTGGATGAAGATGTCAGCCGGCCTGACCGTAAAAAGGCATCTTTACAGCTCCATAAAAAGGAACATGGACAATAGCTAGAATGTCATCCATGAGCACAATAAATATTTCCCCGAAGTTCTTTGCCCATCAGGAAACCACATCACACACACTTTTAAAACCAGTGGACTTTAAGTAAAATGCCAGCTATTTATTGGAACTGATCGGTTTTACAATTAACCAAAGTGCACAACAATCATGTCCACCTTGATTGATGTATGGGGCTTTAGTGAATGACAGAAAGGAGAGAGAGATCGAGGTTTTAAGCAGTGCCCAAACGCAGTCACTTTGGCTTCACAATACTGTCCGTTGCATGCATTTTAAAAAGGGAACACCTCTAGGATGCTGTGGTTCCTTTCTTCAGTCATTCAGCCAGCACTGGCTGAGCACCTGCTTGTGCTGGGCACAGTGCTGGAGACTCAGAGTTGAGAAGACAGAAGTCCCACCCCCAAGATGCACACAGCCTAGTGGCAGGTGGGCAGTGGTGATGGAGTGTCCGGCGTGCTGTGAGGGAGGCATGCCCAGGCCATCACGAGAGGACACAGCGAGCAGCAAGACGTGACTTGGGTGGGCAGGGAAGAGTTCGGGAAAACTAGGGGATTCTAGAAGGATGATTCAAAGAACAGGAAGGGAGACGGGCCTCTGGGCCCAAGCAAAGACACAGGGTTATTGGAGGACTGGGGTTGCAGGTGGCTGGAGGAATGATGGGGAGGCTGGGGCAGCAGCTGGGGTGGGCGGGGTTTCTCATGCCTGTCAAGGAGTCAGCATATCATCCTAACTGCTGCCTTAAGGGGTAATCTCTCTGTAACTCTCTAACTCAGAGAATGTGGTGACTCAATTTCTCCTGATACTCTACCTAATACTTTTATTACTTTAGTGAAGTCTGTGCAGCCGAAAACGCATAGAATGAATAGCACATTCTGGCAACATCAGGCTAACCAAACTCATCACTTTCACGGCAAATGTGAAGCCTAACTTCCTGGCTTCCTGAAATGATCTCCCCACCTTATTGTAAAGAACAGAGGCAGAGAAAGTTGCGCCCTCTCTCCCTGTGTGTGACCTTTGTAATCAAGTGTCACCTGGGCAAAAGTGGCCTCTGGTGAAAGACTTACTTGGAGAAGTTGGAAAGCTGGAAGCCTGGGGAGATGGTGCTTGGGAGTGAGGTCATACTCATTGCCACCAGGTCCCTTGTCTTTTTGTTGGAAGATGGCCAGGCTTTGCCAAGAGCTGATTGTTGAGGGCTTTGAGCGTTGGCTTAGGGCGCTTGTTTCCTCACTGCTGATGAAGGAAGGATCCCTGGGCATCCGGCTCTGCCCAGGGGCTACTCCAAGAGGCACTATGTCCTTAATTGACTTCAGAGGGCAGTGTTCCCAGTACCACTGGGTTTGGGATTGTCTCCAGCCATGGGCACACTAGCTGGCTCCGCCGCCTCTCCCTGGGGAGAAGGGGAAGTTTGCTTTCCCAAGCCTGGGTTCCACTGCCTTGCACCCATCCTCCGCCTGCCCCTACCACCTCGAGTAAGCTTTTTAGGACAGCATATCCACAGTGAGCCATGCCGAGTGTACAGCCTCAGGTATTTGAGGGTGAGACAACCTTAGATTCACAGTATTTACGGATGATACCAGCTACTGGCCACCGCTTCTTGGCTGGACTCAGCATTAAATAGCAAGCTCTAGGCTAGCCCTGGCAAGCAAGGAATTCTAGAACATTGGAGCTGTATGGGCCACTAAGGCTGCTCCCCAGAATCTGGTAACGCAGCCAGTGTGGCACATGGGCAGACAGCTGATGCTGTCTCATCCTGCGATGAAGGAAAACTGTCCTCACATGGAACAGAAATCTGTCTCCCTGAGGTTACAAATCAGTGGCCCTCAGACCCTTATCCTGGCATTTTCAAGATCATGTAACAAGCCTATCCTTTGTCACAAGGATTATTATTTAGAGTTTATGTTTTTGTGGAGTTGATGGTTATAAAGGATACCCTTTTAAATATGTGATAAATTCCCTTTCTTCTTCCTTAGGTCAAATAGCACAGCCTTCTTCATACATTCTTTAAATGGAAAACTTTTCCTTTCCACAGAGCCCACAGTCTCAGATACAATCTTTTCTTCCTATTTATTTATTTTTATTTTTTTCAGATGGAGTCTCGCTCTGTCGCCCAGGCTGCAGTGCAATGGCATGATCTCCGCTCACTGCAACCTCCGCCTCCCAGGTTCAAGCAATTCTCCCACCACAGCCTCCCAAGTAGCTGGGATTACAGGTGCCTGCCACCACGCCCAGCTAATTTTTTTTTTTTTTTTTTTTTTTGTATTTTTAGTAGAGACAGAGTTTCGCCATGTTGGCCAGGCAGGTCTGGAACTCCAGACCTCAGGTGATCCACCCGTCTTGGCCTCCCAAAATGTTGAGATTACAGGCATGAGCCACCGTGCCTGCCTGTATTTATAAAAGTAATATATGCTTGGAGAAAATTGGGTAATAAAATTCAAAGAAGAAAAATACACCCAGTTCATTGGGCAGTGCTGTCCGCCAGGTTGCTGAACCTGCAACGGCATCCCAGTCCTGTAGCACTCCAGGTCCCCTGAGTTATTCAAATTCAGCCCAGTGCAATGCTTCAGTCTCAAACTCAATTTAAACCGCACCTCCTCGCCCTCCTCTGCAGAGACTGGATCTGGGACCTCTGGCCTGGAAGACAGGCCCGCTGGCCAACCCCTCCCTGGAAGGCAGCCCCTCCAGCATGTTGGGGCCACAGCAGGGAGGGAAGAGTGAGGACTTTCCTGTGTTCCCTCGATGCTGTCACCTTCTTTTCTCCCTGGGTGTCGGAGCCCCCTGTGTGCCAGGCCTGCGAAGGTTGGGGATCTCGTGAGGCACATAGGGCTAAATGGGTTAGTTGAGGAGAGCTGCAGAGCTCCCCAGGTGCCATTCCCCAATATTCTAGATAAAGTTCTAGTTCTGCAGGACCTTTATGTAAAAAATTATTTTTAATAATAATTATACGTATTTGTGGGTTATAAGTGATGTTTTGGTACCTGTATACATTGTGGAATAATTAAATCATACTAATGAACATATCCATCACATCAATGTGGTAAGAACATTTAAAATCTACTATTTGGGCAATTTTGAAATTTACAACACATGATTAACTGTATTAGTCTGTTTTCATGCTGCTGATAAAGACATACTTGAGACTGGGCAATTTACAAAAGAAAGAGGTTTAAGGGACTCATAGTTCCACGTGACTGGGGAGGCCTCACAATTATGGCGGAAGGTGAAAGGCACGTCTCACATGGTGGAAGACAAGAGAAGAGGGCTCGTGCAGGGAAACTCTCCTTTATAAAACCATCAGATCTCATGAGACTCACAGGAAAGACCTGCCCCCATGATTCAATGACCTCCCACCAGCTCCCTCCCACAACATATGGGAATTGTGGGAGCTACAATTCAAGACGAGATTTGGGTGGGGACACAGCCAAACCATATCATTAACTATAGTCACCCTGCTGTGCAATCCATCTCTAAAGCCCCTTCTGTCTAACGGAAACTTTGTACTCTTTGACCAACATCTCCCCGTTCCCACCCTGCCCCTCCAGCCCCTGGTAAGCATTATACTCTCTACTTCTATGAGTTCAACTTTTTCACATTCCACATATCAGTGACATCATGCAGTATTTGTCCTTCTTTGCCTGGCTTATTTTACTTTGCATAATATCCTCCAGTTTCATCCATGTTGTTGCAAATGACAAAACGTTCTTCTTTTTAATGGCTGAATAGTATTCCATTGTGAATATATACCACATTTTAAAAATCCAGTCCTCTGATGGACACTTAGGTTGATTCTTTTATCTAAAGACAAAAGATAAGTGTTGTTGAGGATGTGGAGAAACGGGAACCCTTGCCCACTGTTGGTGGGAATGTAAATTAGTAAAGCCACTATGGAAAAGAGTATGGAGGTTCCTCAAAAAACCAGAACTACCATAGGATCCAGCAACCCCACTTCTGGGTATATATCCAAAGGAATTGAAATCAGTATCAAATCATAGATATCTACACTCCCACGTTGATTGCAGCATTATTTACAAGAGCCAAGTGATTTTTTGACTCTCTTGACAACTCTCCTATAGCCTCAGATCTGTCCTCCTGCTGCTGGGGTTTCCCTGCCCAGTGGGCTGCCACCTAGGGAAAGATCCCAGCCACCCTCACAGGTGTCGTTGCGCCCAGAGGAAACACATGCATTCTCGCTGTGGCAAATGGCAGGAGCCCATGCAGCCCACTGTGTCTCATTAAAGCTGTCAGTGTCTTTTGGGGAGCCATCAAATTCAGAGTGCTAGGACTTAATTAGAATTTAATTAGGATCTTTGTAGCCTGTTATTGAGATGGATTTATTCTTTTTTTTGCTATGTCCTTTTTAATGTTTTGTTATTAGTACTGCGCTAGATTGATAAAATAGACTGGATTGTATTCCATCTTTTTCCACACTTTGGAACAGTTTTTATAATATGAGAATAATCTGTTCCATGAACATTTGAAAGAATGTGCTGTGGCAACAATCTGACTCAAAAGCCTTTTTCAGGGGAGGCAGTTCTTTAAACCTGGTTTGCTTTCTTTCATTCCTGTTAGTCAACACAAATTTTTGTGCTTCTCTCCTTTTTTTTTTTTTTTTTTTTGAGACAGAGTCTCACTCTGTTGCCCAGGCTGGAGTGCAGTGGCGCGATCTCAGCTCGCTGCAACCCTTGCCTCCCGGGTTCAAGCAATTCTCCTGCCTCAGCCTCCCAAGTAGCTGGGGTTACAGGTGCGCCACCACACCTGGCTAATTTTTGTATTTTTAGTAGAGATGGGGTTTCGCCCTATCGGCCAGGCTGGTCTCCAACTCCTGACCTCAGGTGATCTGACCGCCTCGGCCTCCCAAAGTGCTGGGATTACAGGTGTGAGCCACTGTGCCTAGCCTTTGTGCTTCTCTTTGAGACAAACTTAGTAATTTGTGTCTCCAGTGACAACTTATACAGGGCTTGCTGGTCAGACTGGCTTCAGCTATTTATGAGTTCTGCATAGCCTCGCCCTGTCTGCCTGTCTGTCTGTCTGTCTGTCTGAGCTCCTTGGCACCCAGGAGGCAGAGATGGGGAACAAAGAGAACATGAGGAGCAGCAGTCTACTCCTCTCCTTTCTTTTGAGCTGGACATATTGAAAGAGGAATCATTTTGTTGGGCGCGGTGGCTCACGCCTATAATCCTAGCACTTTGGGAGGCCAAGGTGGGTGGATCACTTGAGGTCAGGAGTTCGAGAACAGCCTGGCCAACATGGCAAAACCCCATCTCTACAAAAATTAGTCAGGCATGGTGGCAGGCCCCTGTAATACCAGCTGCTTAGGAGGCTGACGCAGGAGAATCGCTGGAACCCGGGAGGCGGGGGTTGCAGTGAGCCGAGATCACGGCACTACACTCCAGCCTGGGCAACAAAGCAAGACTCCATCTCAATAAATAAATAAATAAAACCATTTCCTTCTCTCTCTCTCTCTCCTTTTTGTACACACTTTGTTCTCTGGATTGATGGAAATTCATGTTATGTCATGTGCTGGTTCATAGTGCTCAGATTGAGGATTTCTGAATAGACATGAACTTGGATCCTGACTTTGCTTTGAGTTGTTTTCTAGCCCCCTCTTCTGCCCCCAACATCACTTACCATGACAAATGCTGGCACCTGGATCCTTGTGGAAGTCCTCACCCTGGAGAAAGGAGAGACTATCTGGCTCAGCCCCACAGGGGGGAGAGAGACCTCAGCTGGAAAGATGTGGACATGTCTGTCCCGGGGGAAGAGGTTAAAGGGCAGAGGGGATGTATGAATAACTCTTCTTTTTCCACTTATGAATATGCTCTGCCCAAACTGCTCATGATGTTAGACATGTCCACCTTCCATCCGACATAAGTGAGGGGGCCCTATCGGCACCTCCCTCCCGGATGTGATGGAATGCTTTGGAAACCATTAATCCTGGTGTCAGCAGGAGCCTATGGAGGAACTTGTAGTTAATATCCCCCACGAGCCAGGGAACGGGCTGAGAGGCAGACAGCTTACTTCCTTCTCCCTTTCGGCAGCAGAGTCATGGGCTGGCTCAGCAGGTCCGAGTTAGATCATTGGCAGAACCGGCTGGTGCCAACCTTTAAATTTTAGGGCTGCCTCTTCTATCCTGGTCAAGAGCTTCATTTGTTACATAATCATGTGTCTGTAGCTGCCCCATGGCCTCATAAAATGTGCAGCTTAACGGGGACGTTTTCTTCTTGCCTGAAGCTTTGGCCGTGGGGCCTTCAGTCCAGCCACAGCTGGCCTGAGCTGGGGACAATGACAGTTCACAGGATTCCATGTGCTCTCCCACTTCTCTGCTCATAAGTTTTCCCCATAAACCCAACTTTTTTAAAAAATGAGGATGACTCATATAAAGATATGATTTGTACCAGATTGGTTTGTAAATGCAACATAATCCCAAATAATTTTTTTATAATTTTTTTTAAAAATTTACCGTCTTTACCATTTTTAAGCCTACAGTTCAGTGGTGACTAATACATTCATATTCTTTCTCTCCCTTCATGCCTCCTTCCTCCTCCCCTTCCAGCCTCTGCTAACCACCAATCTACGCTGTCTCATGATACAGGTATGTGTGTCCTTTGCATGGCAATGCTAATATTGTTGCCACCACCTTCTCATACCAGTCTGACATTAATTCCTGCCCTTTAGTGACTGTGAGTTCCAGTCTTGAATGGGCATAGAATTTGTCACAGCGATAGCTAACAATTAGTGTTACTACATGCTGGGCACCATGCTAAGAGTTTTGTATGTATTAACTCACTTATGTAGGTCGGTGAAATTATCTTTTTTTTTCTATGCAGTTCACTTTTCTTTCCCCCAGAAAAGGAACCGAGGCACAGCGAGGTTAATAATTTTTTCAAGGTCACACAGCTATAAATGGCGAGACCAGGATTCAAACCTAGGCAGTCTTCCTTTAAAGGCATTAAACTCTATGCTGGTGATGAGCAGGTGGGTAGAGAAAAGGTTCAGGGATAAAAATAAAGTGGTTTCTTACATTTATTCCAAGATTTTAGCAGGTCAGCTGTGAGTACCAAACTTTCAGTGCTATGAGTGTCTGGGTGTTTTGGCTGGTTTGCTTGCTTTCTCTGTGTTCCTAGGTGTGCAAGTGGGAAGAGGGGGTGGGACACATCCTGCAGAGAGACCTGCCGTGCTCCCCACTGGAGACTGCAGCCTCCACTTCCCACAATCCCTTGCATCTTTGTCTCTAGTCTGTGGCCTGGCTTCCCCCAAGAAGACGTGTCTCATGAGATGTGGAAGGAGAGGGTGAACAGCATTAAGTGACACTGTTTCCACTGCTTCTGTGTGCTCGAGGAAGTGTTGGGTTTTCCTGTGACAACCGCAGCAGAGGTCCCAGCAGTGGGGAGGTGAGGGAGTTAGAGCAGGCTGTCTGGTGGCCCTGGTGCCAGCAGGTGAGACAGCGACCTCCTCATTACCTGGCTTCTCAATCAGGACCAAGGCAGCAGCTTGTCATTTGGGAGTCATTCCTGGAAGCTTAGCTCTGAGCCTACTCTACAGCCATTCCATCAGCTTTGCAAGGACGTAGGTCACTGTATTAAGTCCTTTTCTGTGTAAACTAGGTAGAGTGTTTCATGCTATTTGCAATTGAACCTGGTGATACAATAGGTTTTTGTTATTCGTGGTATTTAATGAGAGGTTTTTTTTCCTTTTTTTTAAAAAAAAAACATGATTGGTTCAGATTGAGCTCATGGTAAACTAAAGCCATCAGCTTTCTTTTCCCATAAATGTTCTTAGGATAGTCACCCCCATTGTGGGTGCATGCGATCCACCGAAGTTGCTTGCCCTGAGTCCATCAACCCAGCAGGTGAGGTCCTTTTGAGTTACTGTCTCAAAACGATGAAAACCACATTGTTCTCACTGCCAAAACCTTGTCCCATTGCTCCATGATGCTGTCTCCAGCTGGGTTTCTGCCAAGAGTTTTCTTGGCTTGTTCTCTGCTCCTGGAAAGGAACAGCCTGTCCTCCAGTGCTCTGGCCTCCTGGGGAGCCCATCAATGCCTCCACCTTCCTCTCTGTGTCTCTTGGAGGACCCCGGGGTTACTGCTCTGACACCCTTCCTCTCCCCCTCTTCTGAGGGCAGTCGTCCAAATTCCTCCAGGATCTGGCCTAGAAACACTTGCTCAGCAGCACATGGGCAGGGCCATTAGGTACAGTCGGGGTGCGCTGTCCCGCAAGGATTCCACTTAGAAGGGTGTCCATGCAGACTTGTTTCATGCTCAGACCTCCCAGTGGAGTGTGTGTGAGAAGTTTCACTATCACTGTATGCTTTTTAAACTGCAGCTGATAACCCTTTACTAGGGAAAAAAACTGATTTAGAGGACTGTGCCGCATTGACTATATAGAAGTTTGTTGTACATAGGAAAGGTTAATATTGTCTGGAGCATCTTTTGCTAGTTGTATGTGTATCAGTTAAGGTTCCACCAGGGAAACAGAACCAGTAGGAAATATAAATGAATAAATAATCATATATAAAACTTTTTTTTTTTTTTGAGGTGGAGTCTCTCTCTGTTGCCCAGGCTGGAGTGCAGTGGCATGATCTCGGCTCACTGCAACCTCCACCTCCCGGGTTCAAACGATTCTTCTGCCTCAGCCTCCCAAGTAGCTGGGATTACAGGTGTGTGCTACCATGCCTGGCTGATTTTTGTATTTTTAGTATAGATGGGGTTTCACCATGTTGGCCAGGCTGGTCTTGAACTCCTGACCTCAAGTGATCCGCCTGTGTCGGCCTCCCAAAGTACTGGGATTAAAGGTGTGAGCCAGCATGCCCAGCCTAAAACTCTTTCTATCTTAAAAAATATGTATGTGTGCATCTCCAAAAAAATTTACAGCAAGGAATTGGCTTGCCTTATTCTGGGATTGGCCAGTCAAGTCCAAAGTCCACAGGGCAGGAAGGAAGGGCAGCAGAAACTTTCCAGCACAAGTTGATGCTATCCCCAGGGAGAATTTCTTCTATTTCAGGGAAGCCTCTATTCTGCTCTTAAGACCTTTCAACTGATTCCACCAGGCCTGCCCATATTATCTAGGATAATCTTCTTTACTGAAAGTCAACTCACTATAGACTTTATATCACATCTCCAGAATACCTTCCCAGCTACACCCAGCGTAGTGTTTGACCAAATGGCTGGGCAGTAGCCCAGCCATGTTGACACATAAAACTGACCATCACAATATGTGTGTTTATGCACTGAGTCAGGATTAAAAATGAATTTCTGACTGTAAAATATAATTTAAAGAGCTCAGGAGGAAGTCATCTCCTCCTTGTGCCCTCTGTTTTGGAAGCAGACATATTCAGATCTGCCCCTTTCCCTCTGTCATTCGCTCCAGGTTTTTTTATTTTAATTCTTAGAGATATTCCAGCTTCCTCCAAGGGTATAAAGTCGGCCTTATGGAGCGGGGGCACTTGACACACCGGTCACAGGGCTGGGCCACACTGGAAACCAGGGGGTTCTCCCAGCCGAGCTCCAAGAAGGATTCTCGTGGTGGTGTGTGCACAAAAGGAAGAATCTGCTTTCTGTGTATTCCGAGTGAATCCTGAAATTCCAATAAGCAAAGTCCTACAGGAAACAGCAATGCGTAGTCCCTAAGTGGAAAAGCTCACAGTCACACAAAACTTCCAGTCCTATGTCAGAAAATCTCTAAGGAACCAATCTGAGTAGGCTACGAAGAGTGTTGCCTCCTCCCTGCAGTTTCTCATCACTCCTTCTACTGTCCGGGTTTCCTGGGTTGTTTTATAAAGGCACAGCTGACTCATAATTCCCAAGCTGAAGCTACTTCTAGGGAAGGAATATACGACATCCTGGATAAACAAAGAAGTCATACATTGTTAATGTACAGAATAGGAAAGCCATGTAGGTGGAGCATCTTCAAATTATGTGTCTTCCTGAGGGAGCAAATCATTCTATAAACACTGGTGAGCCAGGCCACATTCGAGGGGCTGGGGATATAAAGGTGACCAAGATGTGCCTACAAGGAGAAAGACAGCTGTGGACTGAATGCTTGCATCTCCCCCAAATTCACATGTTGAAACTAATCCCCAAAGTAATGGTATTAGGCAGTGGGGCCTTTGGAAGGTGATTAGGTCACAAGGGCAATAGCCGTCATGAATGAGATTAGTGCCTTATGAAAGAGGCTCCAGGGAGCTGCCTTACCCCTTCTACTACATGAGGATGCAGCAAGAAGACACCATCTATGAACCAGAAAGCTGACCCTAAACCCCACAAGACACTGAGTTTGCCGGTGCCTTGATCTTGGACTTCCCAGCCTCTAGAGTTGTGAAAAATTAATTTCTGCTGCTTACACCCAGCTAATTTTTTGTATTTTTAGTAGAGATGAGGTTTCACCATGTTGGCCAGGCTGGTCTCGAACTTCTGACCTCAGATGATCTGCTTGCCTTGGCCTCCTGGAGTGCTGGGATTACAGGCATGAGCCACCACACCTGGCCTATAAGCAATTATTTTTAACCCGTGTCATGTCTGTAAGTACACTTGAAAGTTGTGCAGAACAGTTTGTCCATGAAGACATGTGACATCTCTGTCTCCTGGCCGCTAAATGCCATTAGCCCTGTGGCCCTGATATGGTTTGGATCTGTGTCCCCATCCAAACCTCATGTTCAGTTGTCATCCCCAGTGTTGTAGGTGGGGCCTGGTGGGAGGTGATTGGACCATGAGGGTGGATTTCTCATGAATGGCTTAGCACCATCTCCTCTGTGCTATTCTCCGCAACAGTGAGTGAGTTCTCACGGAATCTGGTCGTTTAGAAGGGTGTGGCGTCTCCCCCATCTCTCTCTCTTGCTCCTGCTCCAGCCATGTGAGAAGAAAGCTCCCCCTTTGCCTTCCACCATGACTGGAAGCTTCCTGAAGTCTCCCCAGAAGCAGAAGCTAATATGATTCCTGTACAGCCTGCAGAACCATGAGCCAATTAAAATTCTTTTCTCTATAAATTACCTAGTCTTAGGTATTTCTTTTTTTTTTTTTTTTTTGAGACGGAGTCTCGCTCTGTCTCCCAGGCTGGAGTGCAGTGGCGCAATCTCGGCTCACTGCAAGCTCCGTTTCCCAGGTTCACGCAATCCTCCTGTCTCAGCCTCTCGAGTAGCTGGGACTACAGGCGCCCACCACCATGCCTGGCTAATTTTTTTTGTATTTTTAGTAGAGACGGGGTTTCACTATGTTAGCCAGGATGGTCTCAATCTCCTGACCTCGTGATCCGCCCTCCTCGGCCTCCCAAAGTGCTGGGATTACAGGCGTGAGCCACCGCGCCTGGCTAGTCTTAGGTATTTCTTTATAGCAATGCAGGAATGGTCTAATACACCTTCTTTCATCATTATGACAATGAAAAAACTCCCACATTTCTAGTATGTCCCTTGTTATGAGTTTCTGCCCTTGTTGAGAACAACTGCTCTGGATGGGCACACAAAGCATCTAGACAGGACTGATTATGGACTCAAGATCTAAAAAAGAAAATGATACGATCTTTTAGTGAGAGAAAGTAGATAAAACAGATAATAGGGAATGAGAGGGCAAATTATGAATATTTATTGATACCACATATTAATTAGAATGTTTTGGGCTGCAAGTAAAGAACATTCATTTAGAGCAGGCTTGAACAATAAAGAAAGGCATTGTGGCACAAATAGGATGTTGAGAAGTACAGAGTGTGACCAACTGACTCTGGGCAAACTCTGGAGCCGGACTAGCTAGGTTTGCACCCTAGACCCACCATTTACCAGCTAGTTATATTGACTTAGGCAAGTTACTTAACTTTTCTCTGTTTTGGTTTTATCATCTGCACAATGGGATTAGAAGTATATCCACCTCATAGGTCTAAGTGATTTAATATAAAAGTACAAGTGCTTCAGATCAGTGCTTGTATTTTTCGTATTTTTAGTAGAGATTTTGTATTTTTAGTAGAGATGGGGTTTCACAATGTTGGCCAGGCTGGTCTTGAACTCCTGACCTCAGTTGCTCTGCCCACCTCAGCCTCCCAAAGTGCTGGCATTACAGGTGTGAGCCACTGTGCCTGGCCGATTATAAGCATTTCTTTTTTTTTTTTTTTGAGACAGAGTCTTGCTCTGTCGCCCAGGCTGGAGTGCAATGGTGCGATCTCGGCTCACTGCAAGCTCCGCCTTCTGGGTTCACGCCATTCTCCTGCCTCAGCCTCCTGAGTAGCTGGGACTACAGGGGCCCGCCACCACATCCGGCCAATTTTTTGTATTTTTAGTAGAGACAGGGTTTCACCGTGTTAGCCAGGATGGTCTCTATCTCCCGATCGTGATCTACCCACCTTGGCCTCCCAAAGTGCTGGGATTACAGGCATGAGCCACCGCGCCCGGCCCATTATAAGCATTTCTAAACGTACATAAGGAAGATTTAAAAAGTCCTGCTATGTGCTCAAAGGGCACAGGCCGGGTGGGGAAACAAATGAGGTGAGAGATCCTGCACTCAAGCCGTGGTGTTTTTTTTTTTTTTTTTTTTATACTTTAAGTTCTAGAGTACATGTGCACAACGTGCAGGTTTGTTACATATGTATACATGTACCATGTTGGTGTGCTGCACCCATTCGCTCGTCATTTA
This sequence comes from Homo sapiens, assembly GCF_000001405.40. Classification (NCBI taxonomy): domain Eukaryota; kingdom Metazoa; phylum Chordata; class Mammalia; order Primates; family Hominidae; genus Homo; species Homo sapiens. Next base: position 93,157,726 of record NC_000015.10, read on the forward strand.
CATTAGGTATTTCTCCTAATTCTATCCCTCCCCCCTCCCCCGACCCAAGCCGTGGTTCTTAAAGCATCTGAGCTCGAAGACCAGCTTTAACACTTCCAGTCCTTGGTGGACAGTTCTATGGTCCTCACACATGACTAGTTGCAGCTAGGAGGGCCTCTGCTGGGAGTTCAATGCGCAAACTGGTCTACACCCTGTTCAATGAGCTGGGCACGTTGATGGGATGCTTAGGTACTGTGGCAATTTGAAAGTGCTATGCAAGTTCCTGAATTCTTATCCTCAATTTGTGGGCCAGTTAGAACAGGTCGCAGCAGCACTGGTCCAATGTTCCTTTAAGTAACCTTGCACTAGGGAAACTTCTAGCGAATTTGTACCCCTATAGTTTTCTTCCAGTTTCTTTCTTACACACAGACTCTTTTCTTCTAGAGGGGTTCCAAGTGACTTCGTCCCCTCCTGGGCTCAGCTGTGGCTTCTGAGCTCTCCAGCAAAGCCAGGCTCCCATTGAGAGACAAATCCAGAGCCTTGTGGACAGGTGCTTGGCAGGCACCCTGCCTGCAGGGCCACGCCCTCCTGCACAGCCATGCGTAGCCTCAGCTCCAGTTCCCTGACCTCCATGGACGCTCCGACACTCGGCAAAGAGACCAGTCAGGGGACCAGGGAAAGAGGCAGAGTGGGGAGCTTCCGGGCCCTCAGGCAAGCAGCGGCTAGGTGAGGACAGTTACCAAAATGGTAATCATAGCCAGGGGCTGGAAAACCTTTCTTGAGATGTAGCAGTCAAACCACATAGTTGTTAAATGACCATAACTATGTCTTAAATAATCAGTTCAGCTGGTCTCTATTTAACATAATAGCTGCCTATTAAACCTAGATTAAGTACAGAGTTCAACATCTCTAGGACACAGAAACCCCAAAATGACTGCCAAACCCAGAATGAAACCTCTGGCTGGAAGGAGCCGCAAATGTGTCCACCTGGCCTGGGTGTGTTCTGGTCTGGAGAATGCGGAGTCCGCATCCCACTGCCCAGCTGTCTGTGCTTGAAGAATAATATTTCCCAGGGCTGGGGCAGGGCGGGGGACAAGCTTTGGAATACATTTCAATCCTGATTATATCTCACGACTGCTTTAGTCTTGTAGACATTTCTGAACATGTCAGAAATACAGAAACACCTCCAAGAAGCACTGTGAGGCCTGTATGGCCTCGAATATACCAGATGATGGCAAATTCTGCCTCTTCTTTCTAGCCCCATTCCCCTGGCGTAGAAAGGTCCTTACCTACACTCAGGGCTGCAGTAAGAGCCCCCCACCCTTCTTCCATCCTCTATCCTGCCACTATTCACTGATTTATTCATCCATTCACTCACTTGGCCGGGCGCGGTTGCTCACGCCTGTAATCCCAGCACTTTGAGAGGCTGAGGCGGCTGGATCACGAGGTCAGGAGATCAAGACCACCCTGGCTAACATGATGAAACCACATCTCTACTAAAAAAATACAAGAAATTACCGGGCGTGGTGGCGGGCACCTGTAGTCCCAGCTACTCGGGAGGCTGAGGCAAGAGAATGGCGCGAACCCGGGAGGCAGAGCTTGCAGTGAGCCGAGATCGCGCCACTGCACTCCAGCCTGGGCAACAGAGCGAGACTCCGTCTCAAAAAAAAAAAAAACCAAAACAAAGAACATCCATTCACTCACTCATTCATTCATTCCAGAAATAATTTCTGTGTACCCACTATGTGCTGAACACTCAGGTAGCAAGACAGTGGCAGCAAAAACAGACCCCCAAGGGCTGATATTTTGGTGGGAGAGGCTGCCACTGTTCAGAGTGGTCTTTCTAAAAGGCAGTCTGTCCCCTGTTCTCTCAGCCTCCAGGAATAAAAGGTCCTGTTTATCTCTCTTTGCTTATTTCATGCCTCCGCCTTCTTCCTTTGGGAGCCAGCCCGTACATCCAGTAAGTGATGTTCCTCAGCTCCTTCTGGGGACCACCTGCATAAACATTACCTGGGATGGTAGTTAAACATGCATACTCCCAAACCCCTCTCCAGACCTAGGGAACTGGAATTTTTTTCTTGGTTGGGCTGGAGAACCAGCCCTTTCATTTGAATCAGGTTCCACGGGTGACTTGGCTGCATGCTGAGGTTGGCGAGTGACCACTGACTAGTGTTTCCGAGTGTTTGCCACATTCAGGCTTTGTTCCACGCCTCCCTCTGCCTAAATGTGGCCTGGTCCCCTTGATCTGCTTGGGGACACTTATCTGTCAAGACTCAGCTCAGTGTCACGGCTTCAGTGGCCTTTCCTGACCCTCACCCGCAGCAGAGTTGGTGGTTCACTCCCAGTGTCCGGTTTCTTCCCTCCGAGGCACATACTTGTAAAGGCCTCCACCAAAGCCCCCTGGGCATTCAATCAATGCAGAGTTCTGTGTATACAGCTGAGCCCTCTAAAGCTGGAGTCCCCGAGGGCCAGTGGGCTCCTCTCCATATCCCAACCCCTAGGTGGGACCAGCCTTCCCCAGCTCCCCACAGCTGGCTGCAAAGTGAGGCAAGGGCTGCAGTGTTGAGGACAGCCATGAAAAGAGGAGGTTCCATTCCTGCCTCCCTGGCTGTTCTCCAGTCTTTTTTTTTTTCTTTTTTTTCTTTTTGAGATGGAGTCTTGCTCTGTCACCCAGGCTAGAGTGCAGTGGCGTGATCTCAGCTCACTGCAGCCTCCACCTCCCGGGTTCAAGCGATTCTCCTGCCTCAGCCTTCCGAGTAACTGGGATTACAGGCGCCCGCCACCGTGCCCAGCTAATTTTTGTATTTTTGGTAGAGACGGGGTTTCACCATCTTGGCCAGGCTGGTTTTGAACTCCTGACCTCGTGATGCACCCGCATCGGCCTCCCGCAGTGCTGGGATTACAGGCGTGAGCCACTGTACCCGGCCTCTCCAGTCTCTTAATCCCCATCACCACAACCTCAGGAGGGCTATCGTTGTTTTGATTTTCACCATAACTGGATTTTTCCTCTGCTGGAGGAGACTGGCAAAGCTAAGTATCCCTCGAAGTCCAGGACAAACAACGAACATCATCTATTCTCTATAAGGAGAGTTTCATTCAAATGGCAGGAAACTGTTCTTGTGGGATGGCTTGGCTCAGTTATTTCAAGCTTGGTTTTCTTTTGTGGGGTGGAGTTAGAGCTCATCTCTTGCTGCCTGTCAGAAAACTCTTCCTGAGAGTGTAGGAATTACTGTGTCGTGTGGATGACCAGATTGTTAAGGGTAAGAGCGAGAAACGACCAATGTCAGTGATACAATCAATTTTTTGCTTTCCACATTTTAAAATCAAATTCATTTGCTCTGTATAATAGACTGGACACATGTTTTCTTAGTTCGTCCATTTACTCACTTGTCTGGGAAGATCTATATTGGGGGGCAATTTTTGCTTTATTGAGAAGATAATGTAATCCATAATGAGAAATTTTCCGTCTTCACGCTTGTGCTGGGGACGGCAGGAGGCTGTGAATCGCTGATGGAGATGGATGGAGCCTGCTGTCCTTCTGAGTCCTGCGCCATGCTTGCCGGGGGCGGGAGTCACAGCCCCCAACTCAACTGTGTGAGCCGAAACCTGGCTTTTTCCAAGCATTTTGTTATGAATGCTAGATTCAAGGCACAATTTTTAGTTCTTATTTTTCTTTAATCCAACAGGAGGTTAACGTGTAGTCTTTGTAGTCAGACAACTTGGTTTCAAATTCTAGTTTGACCTCTTACTAGCTGTGTATTTGTGGACAAGTAACCTAACCTTTCTTTTCTGTGGTTTCCTGAAGGATAAATTGGGGGACCAAAATACTACCTTGCTGTCAGAGTTGTTGCGGGGATGATGATGATGATTTTTGAGACAGGGTCTCCCTCTGTTGCCCAGGCTGGAGTGCAGTGGCACCATCTTGGTTCACTGCAGCTTGGACCTCCCATGCTCAAGAGATCCTCCAGCCTCAGTCTCCCTAGTAGCTGGGACTATAGGCACGTGCCACCACGCCTGTCTTATTTTTGTATTTTCTTGTAGAGATGGGGTTTTGGTATTTTGCCAAAGGTGGTCTCAAACTCCTGGGCTCAAGCGATCTGCCTAACTCAGCCTCCCAAAGTGCTGGGATTCCAGGCATGAGCTCTTGGTCTATTGTGAGGATTGAATGAGATGGTGTGTGTTGTAAAGGTCTTAGCATGGGGCCTTGTCCTCAGTGGCTATTTTGTTTTGACAACACTCTCTTCCTTTATCTCCTGTTTGTTCTTTCTCAGTATCCTTTCTTGGCATTTTGTCTCTATTTGCCACTAAAACATGGACTTTCCTGAGGGTTCTATCTTTAACCTGTTTTTTTCCTTTCTTCTTATTTAGCACATGGTTTTAGGGGCGATTAAACTTAATCCTGTGGTGGCCAATGCTTCTCTCCTTGGTTATCACCCCCAGGGCTGGGCTTTCAGCTCAACTCCTCTGTTCCAAAGTTCGGACCACTTTGCTAAAGGCCTGCTGGGCATCTCCATGTGGCTGTTTCATGGGCACCTCCACGTCTGAAGTCATCTTACCATCACAGCCCCCTCCCCACCAGACACACTCAGCTGTCTCTTCTTTCTTGGGTGTCTAGTTCACAGTTATTTTGTTGCGGGACAATCAAAGACAGGAGAGACCGAACAGAGTGAGTTCAGGAAAGGTCTTTATTAAAAGGTGATCACCTGGCTCAGTAGGACCAGCATCCAGGAAAGTCTGAGCCCCGGACAAAGAAAGCAGCCACCTTTTAAGTAGTCGGTGGCCGGGAGCTACATGATGCAGGAAGTGTACTTACAGAATCGAGAACGAAGGCAGTTGATGAGTCTTTTACATTTATCTATACTGTATGTTCCACATCCCTGGGAAACCATGTTTCTGTATCAACCTTGTAACTTTGCAGCTGAGCTAGGGGGGTGAAGCAGGAACTCGCTGAGCCTCAGGGAGGGTGAAACTGGGGAGTACAGATAGGGCTCGCTGACACAGAAGGAAAAACAGGCAGTTAGTATTCTTCTCCAGCTTAGACTACGGGGGGCGCTACACTACACTTAGCTTTTGAAGGAAAAAGTAAAAATTGTTGGTGGTCTTTGATTATACTTGTAAAATTCATGAAGTCCTTCTTCAATTTCACATTCTGGACATTGCCTTTGAACATGTGTCAATCAATTAATGTCTCTCCTAAAAATGAAACTATTAATTAACATATGACCTTTAATTTTTTTTTCTTTCTTTGAGACGGAATCTCGCTTTGTCACCCAGGCTGGAGTGCAGTGGTGCGATCTCGGCTCACTGGAAGCTCCGTTTCCTGGGTTCACGCCATTCTCCTGCCTCTGCCTCCTGAGTAGCTGGGACTACAGGCGCCCGCCACCATGCCCGGCTAATTTCTTTTTTTTTTTTTTTGTATTTTTAGTAGAGACAGGGTTTCACTGTGTTAGCCAGGGTGGTCTCGATCTCCTGACCGAGACGGGGTTTCACTGTGTTAGCCAGGATGGTCTCAATCTCCTGACCTCGTGATCTGCCCGCCTCGGCCTCCGGAAGTGCTGGGATTATAGGTGTGAGCCACCTCGCCGGGCCGACCTTTAATAATTTTTAAAAAGGCAAACAGGTGATAAAACTCTTGTCCTTGAACCTTTCCTTTGCACATACAGTGAAATCAAAACCCTTCACAGTGGCCTAAGACTGGCCTTTAGCCTATCCTCCTTCACTGGCCCAGCATCAACAGACTGTATTGCTGAGCCATCCCAAACAACATAAGCACCAAAGTGGAGAAATGACATGTTTCTCTAAAAAACAATGTCTTTCTGCCGAAAGCAGAGCTTCAAATTGCTCATAACTTAGTACATGGCCAGAAATTACTGGTCATCAGAAGGAAAGTTGACCTTCAAAATGGACAGAGGAGGAGATAATAAATAGAGCCATGAATATTGGCATCGTGTGATCATAGCTTCATGTCTCCACATCCAGGGAGTGAGGGATGATTCACAGAATTTCAGTTAATTGTTCAATCCCCGACCTGGACATTGGAAGACTCTGGTTCTCATCTTGGCTTTCTCTTGAACAAGCCACTTCTTTTCTTCTGAACCTCAGTTTATCCACCCTTAGATTGAGGGGATTGAACTAGACCACTGGTACTCGTAGGAAACATTTGGGAAATTTGTGGGGACATTTTTTTTTTTCTGGGTCAGAGTCTCTCTCTGTCGCCCAGGCTGGAGTGCAATGGCATGATCGTGGCTCACTGCAACCTCTGCCTCCCGGGTTCAAGTGATTCTCCTGCCTCAGCCTCCTGAGTAACTGGGATTACAGATGTGCGCCACCACCCCTTGCTAATTTTGTAATTTTATGAGAGACAGGGTTTCACCATGTTGGTCAGGCTGGTCTCAAACTCCTGACCTCGTGATCCGCCCGCCTCGGCCTCCCAAAGTGCTGGGATTACAGACGAGAGCCACTGCGCCCAGCCATGGGGACATTTTTGACCGTCACAGCAATGAGGCAGGGTTCTACTGGCATTGGTTGGTGGGGACCAGAGAGTCATGGGACCCTGCGGGGCACAAGGCATCCTGAGCCATATCCCACTGACATTCCTCTGCTGGTCATTCACTGGGTACAAAACTTGTTGTGATGATCTGGGCCTCAAATCCCACTGTTTTACATATAAACTCAATCCACTATTTTGTGGTTTTAATATACACTGAGTTTTCGAGGAAGGTAAGTACTATGCAAATGGAAGAAAGTGTGTACTTTGTTTTGCTTTTAGCTTTACCAAGAACTGCTCACATTTTGGGAAATCACATCACTGATGACAACACCCTTCTTAGGGTTTGAAGTGCTGATGTCGTGCTCTCACACTTTACTTCTAACCATTGGATTCTTGGTGATTCGTATCTGTCACTGATGTGGTTTGGATCTGTGTCCCTGCCCACAATCTCACGTCGAATTGTAATCCCCAGTGCTGGAGGTGGAGCCTGGTAGGAGGTGACTGGCTAATGGGGGTGGATTTTGCATGAGTGGTTTAGCACTATCCCCTGGTGCTATTCTAGTGATCTAGATCTGGTTGTTTAAAATTGTGTGGCACCTCCCCTGCCCCTTGATCCTGCTTTTGCCGTGTGAGATGCCTGCTCCTCCTTCACCTTCTGCCATGATTGGAAGCTTCCTGAGTTCTCCCCAGAAACATAAGCCAGTGTTATGCTCCCTGTACAGCCTGCAGAATCATAAGCCAATTTAACCTCTTTTCTTTATAAATTACTTAGTCTCTAATGTCTACTAGAAAGTACAGAGGTAGAGGAGGGGCAGAAGAAAAAAAAAGACCAATGTAGATAACATACCGTACATATGAATACATAGTGTAAGCACCTGATGTATTCATTATGTTTTCCAGGTGTATTAGTGAACAAATGGAAAACATACCAGACTTTCATTGTATTGTGTATTACTTTACTTCTCATTTATATTACAGGGCATTATATTGGTTTTAAAAATTATGTACTTATGCCGGGCATGGTGGCTCACACCTGTAATCCCAGCACTTTGGGAGGCCGAGGCGGGCGGATCACAAGGTCAGGAGATCAACACCATCCTGGCTAACATAGTGAAACCCCATCTCTACTGAAAATACAAAAAATTTGCCAGGCGTGGTGGTGGGCGCCTGTAGTCACAGCTATTTGGGAGGCTGAGGCAGGAGAATGGCGTGAATCCGGGAGGTGGAGCTTGCAATGAGCGGAGATCACGCCACTGCACTCCAGCCTAGGTGACAGAGAGAGACTCTGTCTCAAAAAAAAAAAAAAATTATGTACTTAGGCAGCTTATATGTCTATAGTTTCATTTAAGAATAGCCAAAGGGATGTTGTGAATTATTGTCCTGAACATTTTATAAAATGGGATGTTGGGTCTGACAAGGTTAAGAATCTTTGGACTGAATAATTTTCAGCTTAATACTTTAAGACAAAAAGGCCAGCCAGAACTTCTAACAGAGGGAATGAGGGGCACACTACCCGGGGAGATTGCATACCCGCTTCACAGTGGCAAGCCCTCCCACCTCCCACCCCCCGCCCCCCCTCATTTAAACAAATGCCAATTATTTACCCCTCCATGTCTTCCTCTCCCCTGGGAGTGGAGTCCACCCTCATAATCTTCCCTGGTAACTGTTGCTAGGAAGATGCTGCCTCTTGAGCTGACCTTCCAAAGGCGTGAGATCATAGCCGGTTGTCTCCCAGCTGCTGATGAGGGGATCAATTTTGCCCAGGAGAGTGATGGAGAAATAAGCAAACAGAGCACAAACAGCAACAACACACACAGGGTGCCAGGGACAACATGCAAGACACAGCAGTCGGGGGCTGTTTGATGTTGCTATTGTCTTCCATTCTGGGAGGTATAGGAGGAAAAAAAAAAGAACCATTACGATGGTCTGTCCCCTGCCCTTCCTTGTTATCACAGAGATGGAGACACCATAAGGGGACCTGTTAATTGGGCCTCTTTCATGAAGTCTGTCAGTAGAGTCCAGGCTTCAGAGCAGGCAGCATCCACTTCACCGCTTCAACTTTTGTGGCTCTATTCTTTTGCCACAGCTGAATAGTGATAACGATGATGACAGTGATAACGATAGGTGCCATTCATTGATACTCGCTTTGTTCCTGGCATTGTCCTAAGTGCTTTACATGAATTACTTCATTTAATCCCCACGGCAACCCTATGAGGGAGATTTCACATGCTCCCCTATTGTACTAATGAAGAAATGGCTCCCAGAGAGGAAATTGCTTGTCCAGCTCCTCCCAGCCAGCGAGCAGCAGGGTGGGATTTGATCTTAAGTCTGACTGGCCACCAGCTGGCCCATGAAGCCCTGCACTAGGATATACCGTGTTTTCTATGCTTTATTGACTGATTTTGATCATTTGCTTTTGGTATGAACAGATACAGGTGACAGTGCATGTGTGAATTCATTCATTCATTCATTCATTCATTCATTCATTCATTCTTCACCAGATGGGACCCAACGCTGTGCTTGCTGCCAAGCTCACTGGGACCCCAGTTGAGTAACACCCGCCCCCATCCCCAGGGAGCCGAAGGTCTGGTTCTCTGCGGAATCGAGCTTCTGCTGAAGGCTTGTTCTCGGTAGCACCCAGCCTCTTTGATCCTGTGGGGTCTGGGAGGGGCGGGGTGAGGGAGCACCCAGTTGCACTACACAGACGGTGGCAGGATGTTCATCTGTACAGGTGCTCATGAAACATTGGTTGATTGCTTTACCTTCCACCTTCAACCAGAGCTCCCAGGCCAGGATGCTAACCTCAGGATCAAGGGGAGGAACAAAAGCCACATGTCAGCATTCATTTATCTGCTGATCCTTGGTGTTAGACATTGCACTTCGTCTCATTTAATCTGCACATTGACAACTGGGATATGTGGGCTTCAAATGTGTGGCTCAGGAATAAGATTACTGGGCAAAACGGTGGGCAGGAATACCCTCTGCTCAGCCTGGGCTCAGTGAGGCATTCAGTGCAGGCTGCTGAATCTGCGATGAGCTTTCGACCTCTTTCTCTGACTTCCATTTGCTTCTGTGCAGGATTGAGCCCAAAAGAATTGAACTGGTGGATGTGGCAGAACCTCTGCCTGCAGATGTAGGGAGCTGCGTGACCAGGGTTTGCAAAGGGCAGAGGCAGGTGCCAGGAGATGCCTTTGCAGGTCTGCACTGAGGGCACTCGCTGGGCTGCTCCAGTGACTTCAGGCTTCCCTTTGCCTGAAAGCCTCAGTAGCGAGTGATGCTCCATCAGCTTCCAAGTTGCAGCCTATGCTTCAGCTCACTCCCACACTGGGCCCAAGGAGGGGCAGCAGCCAGGCTAGATCTCAGGGCTAAGCAGGGCTGAGCTGCTCATCAACACGGCCCATGCAGTGGTCTTTCTCTCTCTTCCACCCTTCAGCCCTTCCTTCTCTTGCTGATTCCCTTCTTCCCTCCTTCCCTCTCTTCTTTCCTTTCCTTTTTTCTTTTCTTTTCCCTCCTTCCCTCCCTCCCTCCCTTTTTTCCCTTTCCCTTCCTTCCTTTCTTCTTTCCTTCCTTCCCTCCTTCCCTTACTCCCTCCTTTCCCCTTCATTCCCCCTCCCTTCCCTCCTTCTTTCCTTCCTCCCTTCCCTCCCTCCCTCCCTTCCTTCTTTCCTTCCCTCCCTCCCTCCCTCCCTCCCTTCCTTCTTTCCTTCCCTCCCTCCCTCCCTCCCTCCCTCCCTTCCTTCTTTCCTTCCCTCCCTCCCTCCTTCCCTTCCTTCCTTCCTTCTTTCCTTCCTCCCTCCCTTCCTTCTTTCCTTCCCTTACTCCCTCCTTTCCCCTTCCTTCCCTCTTCCCTCCCTCCCTCCCTTCCTCCCTTCCTTCCTTCCTTCCAGAATCAGCATCAAACATCGAAAAAAACTCTGTTTTGTATTTTCCATACAGTACAATTCACTTTTTTTGGTGTATAGTTTTTTATGTTTTGACAAATGCATAATCATGCGACTGCACCACAATCAAGACAAAGGAACTTCTACCAACCCCCTGCTCTACCCTGCATGCTGCTCCTTTGTGATCATCCACTCCCGCTACACCCAGCCCCTGGCAGCCATCTGTTCTCTGTCCCTATAGTTTTGCCTTTTCTACAATGTAATATAAATGGAATCATGCAATATTTAACCTTTTGAGTCTGACTACTTTCATTTAGAAATTATGTTCACGATTCATCCATGTGATTGTATGTCTCAATAATTGCATTCCTTTTCCTGGCTGAGTAGCATTCCATTACACGGATGTACCGCAATTTGTTGATCTGTTCCCCAGCTGAAGGACATCTGGGTTGTTTACAGTTTTTGATGGTCACAAATAAAGCTGCCATAAACATTCACATATAGGTCTTCGTGTGAACATAGATTTTTATATCTTTTGAGCAAATATATTGGAGCAAGATTGTTGAGTCATGTGGTATATTTAACTTTATAAGAATCTGCCACACTTTTCCAAATCAGCTGTACTGTTTTACATTTTCACCAAGAATATGTGGGAGTTCTACTGCCTTCTTTTCCTTCCCAACACTTGGTATTGTCAGTTCTTTTTTTTTTGTTTAATTTAAGCTATTCTAATAGGTGCAAAATGGTATCTGGTTGTAGTTTTCATTTGCATTTCTCTAATGATTAATAACATTGAGTGTCTTTTCACATGCTTATTTGCCACCCATATGTCTTCTTTGGTGAAATGTCTATTTAAATCTTTTGCTCATTTAAAAAAACTGGGTTGTTTGTTTTCTTACTGAGTGAGTTTGAGACTGTAAAGAATATATTCTGGATAGAAGCCAGATATGTGATTTGCGAATATTTTCTCCCAGTCTGTGGCCTTAGAATAACATGGGTTATTTCCACAGTGAGAAAATTGGCTAGAACTAGTCTTGTGGTCACATGTGGTCACAAAGGGGCTGGGACATGCACTTCTACTCTGTGCCTAGAAAGGCAGAGAACTGGAGATATTAGGGGAATAGTACAAAGGACTGCTATACACACTGCTTATACTGTTTCAGATTCTGCATAACAATATTTCATGAATGTTCTTCCATGTGAGCAAAGTATTTCTCTATAGCAGAGATCCGCAAAGTATAGGCACGGGCCAAATCTGATCTGTTGTATGTTTTCATCTGGTCTGCCAGCTGTTTTTTTACAGACAAACATTTCAAATCAATTTGATGGTAAAGAAAACTGACTTTGAACTCCAATTCATCAAAATATTGTTAGTCCAGAAAGAATTCGATTATTCTCACTGGTTGACCTGTATTACAAAAAGTTGTAATTAATCATTCTTGTATTTTTAATTTGTCCAAAAAATGTGTGGAAATTTGTTTCCTCTCATTATTGTAAGTATTACAAATAATATCCTTGATTTTGGCTTGTGGCCCGCAAAGCCTGAAGTATTCACCCTCAGGCGCTTGAAACTGTTTGCCAAACCCTATTGTGTAGAATGGCTTTTCAGAGCTGCATGGTATTCTACAATTTTCAATCAGATGTACGTATTATAAATTCTTATGGACATATTGTTCAACTATATTGGTTCTAGATCCTTCCTATTCAAACAATGTAGCAGTATAGACCCTTGTGCGTCTATCACAACCATAATCATTGATCATTTCCTTGGAATAGATTTCTAGAAGTGGAACTACTGACTCAAAGGGTGGGTACATTTTGCAGATTTTTTTTTTTTTTTTTTTTTTTGAGATGGAGTCTTGCCCTGTCACCCAGGCTAGAGTGCAGTGGCGAGATCTTTGCTCACTGCAACCTCTGCCTCCCGGGTTCAAGTGATTCTCCTGCCTCAGCCTCCTGAGTAGCTGGGATTATAGGCACACATCACCATGCCCCGCTAGTTTTTTTGTATTTTTAGTAGAGATGGGGTTTCGCCATGTTGGCTAGGCTGGTCTCGAACTCCTGACCTCAAATGATCCGTGTGCCTTGGCTTCCCAAAGTGCTGGGATTACAGGCATGAGCCACCGTGCCCGCCCCAATTTGCAGATTTAGTATTTCTAAGTAACTCAGTATTTCTAAGTAATCTGTCAGAAAGTTAGCATTTCACATTCTCACCTGCAGTGAGTGGATAAATGTGCTTTTTGACTTGTACATTTTCCAAAACGAATGGTTCAATTTTATAATATCAGCCATGTATATTTCTTTTTTGTCAATGGCTTTTTCAAGCCCCGGTCTGGCTTTCTGTGGAATAATTCTTCATCCTCTGTTCAGCATCCAGCAGTGCCCTGGAAAAGTGGCTGTGAAGTTACTTGCAAGACTGCATTGAACCCGGGCGAGACACTTCTCAGGGGAGCTGTCCAGCTACATTCTCTGAGTGAAGGCAAGTGTAGTCACTTTTCTCTGCTATGTTAATATGTGCCATGAGTTTTAAAAGACTCTCCCTTCAGTCAGCGGATGACATCTGCTGCTTAGCAAGAAGGCAAAGCTCCGTTTGTCTAATCAGCTACATGTTGGGATTTGAAAACATGGCACCAAGACCCCTGAAAGATATGTTAGAAACAAGTTTTCTGGTTTGGGATTCATGAGAATTTCTTGGCTCCCAAGCAGACCCAACTTTAACAGTGACAGGGGCAGACATGTGGTGGAATGTGGGGAAGATTCTGGGAGCACCACCTGGCTATGAGAAGCTTAGGATATTTTCCCATGGTTAAAAATAAAATAAAGTCGATGTTTTGGAAAGTGGTGAGAAACAGATGGGGGTGAAGGATGAGTACCCCCATTGCATTGTTGAGGACCCTGAAGTTTACTCACATATCAGGGCTCATAAGTGAATTGAAGAAGGAAGCCAGGTGTCTTTGAGCCAGGTTGGCTCCACAGCAGCCAGACTACCCTGCTGCTGGGGAAGTCACAGAAGAGGCTCTGGCATAAGCACCAATTCTTAGGAGGCCACATAGTCATTCTTCTTGATGCTCATTGTTTTTAAGGCCCTGGGTGAGTGGAAGAAGATCTTTTGTTATGTGTGTCCTTGTCACCACTGATTTCTGGGATTCCACATTATTTTGGCTTATTTCTCCATTGATATAATTGTAACTTGTAATGTTAGAACTCTGGGAGAATAAATTCCAAATGAGCTCTTGATGTCAATTAATAGGTTCATGCCAATTTTCTTGGGTTTGGAGATGTGAAGATACACAAAAGAAAGTACAGTCTTTGCTTTAAAGCAGCTCACAGACTAATGGAGTGGATGCCACTGAACCAAAGATTCCAGTAAAGTATGAAAGGGGTCTAGAGATTTATGTCCAAGTTGTTCTGGGGCCATTTAGAGGAGGTGGGAGTACAGGATGATGGTAGGGGAAGGCTTCCCAGAAAAAAGAAATCGAGTTCAGGTTTTGCTGGAAAAAAAAAAGTGACCGGGGGATAAGTAGAAAGAATTGTAGAAAAAGGGAAGAACAGGTGCAGGCTCTCAGGCTCCCAGCCATCAGCTATCCCAAGTATTTCTTGAATTGTTGTGACATACCAGGCATTGCCCTTCATGCTGCAGTACAGTGATGTTCTCTAAATAAGGCTCAGTTGGAATATTTCAATCTCTCAGCAGTTTGCTTTCCTCACCTTGCCCCTTAAAAATTCCCCGGCTTGTGGGAATGGGAATGGAATTGTTGGAAAAGGGCAGAGTAGATTTTAAAAATCACTTCATTCCCTGTTGTGTGGGAAAGTTTCCCAGGAAGAGACTGCCAAGCCCAGGAAGATACATATATATGCAAATTCCCCGGCAAAATGTTTTCTAGCCCCTCAACCTCAATCTACAGAAGTTTCCGTTATCATAGGCTACAATCTGATGCAGTGTGTGGTCCTACCCTGACCCTATTTCAAGGGAGTTTTTCACAGACCTCATTACCACTTAAGTTTTTAGGAAGGGGCTTGAAAACAGAAGGAGATAGACTAAAAGACATTGTACAGGGACAGCGGGGAGCCACAGCCCTGCCTAAAGAATGAAAGTTGGTTGTTCTGGAAAGATGTACAAATAAGCCAGAAGAATAAAAAATGCTCACATTTGCAGAGCTCTTCACCATTTAAAAACCAATCCATTCCTCATCATGGGAAATTATCCCCAATTTGAAGATATGAAAATTGAGGCTTGGGGAGATTGAATGAGTTGCTACTAAAAGGACCTGGACCTGAACCCAGAGCTTTGACTCCAGATCTGCTGTTTCCTTCACGTATATCATTGTTATTGAAATCTCCATAGAAAAATGTGTCGTATGCAAAATTTGACAGGACACATCTCTCTGTCTCTCAAGAGCCTTCAGTGTGCATAGGGTAAAATTAGCTTTGAGTCAATATTGCCTTTTAAAATTTGTCACTCAGTTCTTGGGTCTTCTGTTCTAAATCCAATTTGAGTTTACAATTATGAGGCTCACCTTTTTTTCCTTTTTTTTTCTTTTGAGATGGAGTCTCGCTCTTGGTGCCCAGGCTGGAGTGCAGTGGTGCGATCTTGGCTCTCTGCAACTTTTGCCTCCTGGGTTCAAGCAATTCTTCTGCCTCAGGCTTCTGAGTAGCTGGGACTACAGGCACATGCCACCATGCCCGGCTAATTTTTGTATTTTTAGTAGAGATGGGGTTTCACCATATTGGCCAGGCTGGTCTCGAACTCCTGACCTCAAGTGATCTGCCCGCCTTGGCCTCCCAAAGTGTTGGGATTACAGGCGTGAGCCACCGGGCCGAGCCAAGGCTCACCTTTTAAAAACAGTTTGTTCTCTGAATGTTGAGGGGATTCATCAAGGTCAGTTTAGGGCAAGGCAGGAGGAAGTTCTTGGCTTATACTGAAGAAAAATCAGTATTTTTGTTGTTCATTTTGGGTTTCCCTAGTGTAAGATCTCACGTACAACAGCCAACAAGAAATCGGGACTTCAGGGCAGAAAGGGAGATGGGGAGGAAGCAGGGAGAGCAGGTGTCTTTGTCCATTTTGTGTTGCAATAATAGAATACCACAGACTGGGTAATTTATAAATAAGTTTATGTAGCTCATGTTTCTGGAGGAGGGGAAGTCCAAGAGCATGGTACTGGTATCTGATGAGGGCCTTTCTGCTGCTTCATCCCATGGCGGAAAGCAGAAAGGCAAGAGAGGGAGAGTAAGAGAGCAAGGGGGGCAAAACTAACTTTTATAACAAGCCCACTCCTGAGATAACTCTCCCACTGCCATGATAATGATATTAATCCATTCATGAGAGCAGAGCCCTCACGACCTAAGCATCTCTTGAAGGTCCCACTTCTCACACTGTTGTATTGGGGATTAAGTTTCCAACACATGAACATTCAAACCATAGCAGCTGGTAAAAAAGCCTCTCTGTGCTTGGAAAGCTGAGTACTTAGGAGGCAGGAAGTGAAAGAGTCAAGAGAAAGGCGAAAGAATGCACATGTTTTTTTCATGATGGCACTCCCAGGCCTTAGCCCAGACCTGGCTCAACGTTTGCTGTGTTGAAATGACTCATAACCAGCTATTGTCTGAATCAGGCTGAAGGGATTTGTCTTAGTCTGTTTGTGTTGCTATAAAGGAATACCTGAAGCTGGGTGATTTGTTTAAAAAATTATTTTACTTTAAGTTCTGGGATATATGTGCAGAACGTGCAGGTTTGTTACATAGGTATACATGTGCCATGTTTGCTGCACCCATCAACCCATCATCTAGCTTTTAAGCCCTGCATGCATTTGGTATTTTTCCTAATGCTCTCCCTCCCCATGCCCCCCACCCCCTGACAAGGCCCAGTGTGTGATGTTCCCCTCCCTGTGTCCATGTGTTCTCATTGTTCAACTTGAAGCTGGGTAATTTATGAAGAAAAGAGGTTTATTTGGCTCACGGTTCTGCAGGCTGTACAAGAAGCGTAGCATAGGCATCTGCTTCTGGCGAGGGCCTCAGGAAGCTTCCACTCAAGGCAGAAGGTGAAGGGGGAGCTGGTGTGTGCAGATCACATGATGAGAGAGGAAGCAAGAGCAAGGGAAAAGGTGCCAGGCTTGTTTTAACAACCAGCTCTCAAGGGGACTCTTTTGGGGCCTAATAGAGCAGGAACTCTCCCTTGTTACTATGAGGATAGCACATGCTGTTCATGAGAGATCCACCCCTGTGATCGAACAGCTCCTACTAGGCTCCACCTTCAAGATCGGGGATGAAATTTCAACATGAGGTTTGGAGGGTCAAATATCCAATCATAGCAGGATTGGAATGCATAATGGTGATTCTGGAAGTCTTTTAGGGAGAAATGCATCTGACAAGCAGGAGCAGTTTGTCACTGATATGCCTGGTCTTCCTAAAATGCTGATGCTGCTACTGCAACTACCACCTCCACCAGCACCATCTTAATCTCCTCTTCCATAGTTCCCATCACCACATCCCTCTACCACCACCACTGCCACCATTACCACCTTCACTCTCATTACCACCTTCAGTGCCATCATCTTTGCCACCATCACCACACCACAACAGCCATCACCACCATTACCATTTACTGAACCCTTGTGACGTGGTAGACACCATGCTAGAGGTTTTTAAAGGGTTTAATCTTCATGATACTCCTACATAGTAGAAATTACTAGTCCTATTTTGCAGTGGAGGGAACTGAGGCTCAGAAAAGTTAAGAATTTGCTCAAGATGACATAGTAGAAAGCTGTAGAGCCAGGATTTCAACCAGGTTCATTTGCTCTTCCAGTAGACAAGGAGGAGTGGCTCAGAAAGCTGTGCTGTTGGACACAGGCATATGTTGTGGGCTTGTTTTATGTACGTCTGGGCCACATTGTTTGGGTCTGAGAGACTCTTGTGGGCTATGACCAGCACTGACAATCTGTTTTCCCTTATTTTTTCTGACTTTCTTTCACACATTCTAGATCATATGGCTTTTCTGGTCAGAACAAATGAAAATGTTTTATGTCCTCCCTTTTCTGAGCTTTGGATGTTACTGTTTGTACACAGTTCTGGAAGCAGATGGAGCCTGATAGAAATCCCAGATGATAACTCAGACTCAAAAGCTCCTTGCAAATGCCCACGTAGCATAAATACCCTTGAGCATATGAGAGACAGTGACAGAGACTGAAAGACAGACAGAGAGACAGGGACAGAGAGAGACAGAGACAGAGAGACAGAAAGAGAGACAGAGATAGACAGAAACAGAAATAGAGACAGAGACAAAGAGACAGAGATAGAGACAGAGACAGAAAGGCACAGAGGGATAAGAGAGATGGAGACAGAGATAGAAAGAGACAGAGAAAGAGATAGACAGAGACAGAAACAGAGACAGAGAGAGGGCTGCAGAAAACTCATCTTTGCCTGCAATGCCTGCTCCAGCCAGATATCAACACGGAGGGCTCCCCACCAACATTCTGATAGATTCTGAACTACAAGCTTCCAGAATATTAGCAGCTGAGCTCCTCCGCCCTGGGAGGAGATAGAGACAGAGAGAAAGATAGAGACACAGAGGGAGAGGCAGAGATACAGATGTGGAGAGAGAGAGACGGAGATGCAGAGAGAGAGAAATAGAGACACAGACAGAGAGATAGAGACAGATACAGAGAGAAATATATAGAGACAGAAACAGAGAGAGGCCAAGAGATAGAAACAGAGAGACAGAGAGAAAGAGGTAGAGACACAAAGAGAGACAGAGATATAGAGTTGAAGAGACAGAGGGAGACCAAGGGGCAGAGAGAGAGAGTGTGTGCCTGATGGCGCTGTTGGTCCTTTGTATTTTGGGGTCTAGGGGTGCCAGGAGTACCTTGGGCCTTCCGTGACCTTTGCTTCACATCTCCTCAGGTATGAGTGAGTTGAGCAGGGGGCTGCCTTTGCCCT
Organism: Homo sapiens; assembly: GCF_000001405.40. Taxonomy (NCBI): domain Eukaryota; kingdom Metazoa; phylum Chordata; class Mammalia; order Primates; family Hominidae; genus Homo; species Homo sapiens. The sequence continues at coordinate 93,176,002 of NC_000015.10, forward strand.
GCGAGAACCGTGCTGAGCACTTTCTAATGCCTGGCCTCTTGGTAATGGCACATCTGCCTCCTGACAGAATCCAGAAGCCCGAGTCAGGTGCCTCCAAAAGGGTCCCAGTTCATTGCTGGGTGCACAGTGTGAGCTTCTGCTCCATCTAGGCATGGGAAGAAAGCCTCCCCTGAAGCTGTTACTCCAAAAGTCAATTCCCCTTGCATTTAAATGGAAGCTCAGAGCACTGTGCTAAAATCACCAGCAGTTAAATTGAATTGGAGCTTGATTAGGGTTCTGACCTACAATAAATCACCTGGGAAACAGCTTTTTGGTGGCATATTTGGCCCGAGGGGGAGGAGCTCAGCTGCTAATATTCTGGAAGCTTGTAGCTCAGAATCTATCAGAATGTTGGTGTGGAGCCCACTGTGTTAATATCCGGCTGGAGTAGGCATTGCGGGCAAAGATGAGTTTTCTGCAGCCCTCCTGTGAATTTCCTGACAGAACTTCTCTCTCACCTCCTGTTTGCCTCATCTTAGCTTTCATCTCTTCTTCTTCACTCTGCCTAAGCCCTGGGAGGTAGCCCAGCGCCATCTGAGAAGGTGGTGGGGCACGCAAAGGGCATAGCCTGCGTCTTTTATTTCGCCTCCACCTCCATGACTACGGCCAAGTCATTCACTTCTTGGATCCTCATTTACAAATTGAAAATACTGGTAGCCTTCCTGTCTGTCTTGCAGGGGTGTTTGAAGGACAGGAAGAAATAACAGTAATAAAAGTACTTCTCAGAGAATAAAGTGCTCTTTGAAGGCCAAGGGTTAATAGTTCTTTTGTTATTATTTGTGGTTGTTTCTCAGAAGTGGAGATCACCATCAGCAGCCTGTGGAAAGGAGGCAAGTGGCTCTTCCATATGACCTTGACCTCTATGACCTTGGCCAACTTATTTAAAGCCTGAATATCTTCATCAATAAAACTGGGAAATAGTGAGACCGTTTCCTTGGGCTGATGACTGTATAATGGTAGGCTCAAAGTCAGGATACAAAGCAGGATGTACAATAAGATGTCATCAACCAGTGAGCCAAAGTCAGAGGTGGAGGATGGAAAAAGACTCCATCATTCACAGTGTGGGGTTGATCATAAGATTTTCAAAATACGTTTGACTTTGTATATGTTTTCTAGATTTTCCATAATGCCAACCTACATTTTCCATAAAGCATCACCTTTGACATTGTGAACCCCAAATATCTGAGACAGGTCTCAGTCAATTTAGGAAGTTTATTTTGCCAACATTAAGGACGCATGCCTATGACACAACCTCAGGAGGTCCTGATGACATTTGCCCACGGTGGTCAGGGCACAGCTTGGTTTTATACATGTATTAGACCGTTTTCATGCTGCCGATAAAGACATACCCGAATCTGGGCAATTTATAAAGAAAAAGAGGTTTAAAGGACTCACACAGTTCCACATGGCTGGGGAGGCCTCATAATCATGGAAGGTGAAAGGCATGTCATACATGGTGTCAGGCAAAGAGGGAAATGAGAGCCAAGCCAAAAAGGAAACCCCTTCTAAAACCATCAGATCTCGTGAGACTTATTCACTACCACGAGAACAGTATGGGGGAAACCGGCCCCATGATTCAATCATCTCCCACTGGGTCCCTCCCACAACACTTGAGAACTGTGGGAGCTACAATTCAAGATGAGATTTGGGTGGGGACACAACCAAACCATATGATATACATTTTAGGGAGACATGAGACATCAATCAATATGTGTAAGATGTACATCGGTTCTGTCCAGAAAGGCGGGACAACTCTAGGCAGGGAGGGGCTTCCAGGCCATAGGTAGGTGAGAGACAAATGGTTGCATTCTTTTTTTTTTTTTTTGAGATGGAGTCTCGCTCTGTCGCCCAGGCTGGAGTGCGGTGGTGCAATCTCGGCTTACTGCAAGCTCCGCCTCCTGGGTTCACGCCATTCTCCTGCCTCAGCCTCCCAAGTAGCTGGGACTACAGGCACCCGCCACCACGCCTGGCTAATTTTTTTGTATTTTTTTGGTACAGACGGGGTTTCACCGTTTTAGCCAGGATGGTCTTGATCTCCTGACCTCATGATCCGCCCACCTTGGCCTCCCAAAGTGCTGGGATTACAAGCATGAGCCACGGAGCCCAGTGAAACTCTTTTGAGTTTCTGATGAGCCTTTCCAAAGGAGGCAATCAGATATGCATTTATCTCGGCGAGCAGAGGGATGACTTTGAGTTCTGTCTGTCATTTGTCCAGAAGGAAATTCCTTGTGAGGGAGGTATGTAGCTTTTGAATCTTAGTAGCCATCTTTTTTTTTTAGCAATAGAATGGGAGGCAGGTTTGCCCTAAGCAGTTCCCAGCTTGACTTTATCCTTTGGCTTAGTGATTTTGGGGTCCCAATATTTATTTTCCTTTCACAATGTTTAGAGGATTTAATGAAAAATCAAACTTGTGTCTGTAGCATCTTTCCCAGTCACCAGCCCCTCCCGGAGCCAGCTTGGCGCAACAGGAGTGGACAGGGACAGCCTCTGGGCCGTATTGCCCTGTAGTCTATGGAGCCGCCCTGCTGGAGGGGCTGGGCTGGGCAGCCTCTGCTGGCTGGGGATGGTTTGGGAGTTTTACTCCAAGGCCTGCCACAGAAGGGCAGCTGTCATCCTCTCCCGTGGCTGGAGACATTTAGGCTGCAGCCCTTGGAAGGCTGTGAAATGGACACGACCCTGTGCTGAGTTTCCACCCTGCACAAACATCTTTGGAAGCAGCGCTCGTTTAATTTTCCATGAGTCCTGAGAAGAAGATGTTGCCATCAGCCCTTTGATTTTGCAGATGGCGATCCTGAGACTCAGAGAGGTTAAGCAACTTTCCTATGTCACACAGCTGGTTAGGAACTGAGCTGGGATTTAAACCCAAAGGTCTTCAAAGGTGGGACCCTTTGTGCCAGCAGGAACCTGTTAGGGGAACACTGTGGGAGAGACAGTAAGTAGATTGCACTGGGTGGGGGGCGTTGGGGAAGGAGGGAGTTGAGGGGGAAGGGAGGGAGTATGTGCAGCGGGGAATAGTTATGCAGCCCCCACCTTGATCATATAACAGCAAGAAAGTGTCCCAAGACCCAAGAAGGAAGTTAGCCTAGATCTTATTTTTCAACACAATCTAACAGTGACTTTGTTAAGAAACAGAAATTCAGGGCCTAAGAGGTTGTTGGAACAATGCCAGGTTTCGCTTCCTTTCCCGGGCAGCTCTCCTGCGACGACCTTTGACTTGGGAGGGGCAGGTCGTCCATGAGCACGAGTGACCGGGTCCCTGATGCTTTCCTCGTGGTTACAGCCTCGCCTGCAGGTTCGGGCACTGTGGGGTGGGGCGGGAACGTGGCTGGCACTATGAAGTATCCACCTTTCTGCGGGCTCTGCCGCCTCATCCCTCCAACAGCAAGCCAGGGCTGGTGGCTGTACTGTTCCCTCGTCCCTCACCTAGCATCCCCTTTTTCCAGAGGACGAAAGGTAGGGGAAGCTAAGAAATGATGGCACAGGATTTGAACTCAGGACTATCTGGGCTCACAGCTGATGACGATTCTATACCACCTTACTGTCCTAGGCAGGGCAGGAGCCCCAGACAGGATGGGTAGCCTTTCTGAAGTTAAAATAGTAAAAGGCAAAAAGAGAGCCCTTACCCGAGCATGCAGCTATAAAGGAGCACACAGTTCTCCTCTGGCCCCTCTCCGAGGATGGGTTCTCCGCTTCTGCGAGGCCAGACGCACCGCAGGCATCTGCCTTTGATTAGAACGGGCAGACAGGAAACATACCTGCGGTCCCGGGCCTCTCTCACACTCCAGAAATGCCATTCACAGACAGGGAAGAGGGAGAAAGGATGGGAGGAAGGGAGGAAGGGAAGGAGAACAATCAACAGCTACATGGGAGCGTGCTGGGAGGTAGGATCACCGCGGGAGACAGAAATGGGCCTCAGCCGCAGGTCAGGGTGTGGACACGGAGGCAGCCAGGCCTGATCTGCTGGGGGAACCACACTGGGCCGGGCGTGGAGAGGAGGTTTGCCGTGTGTGCAGCAGCTTGCAGGGAGCCAGCTGCCGAGAGCTGGGGCTGCTGCTTCTGAGCTGAAAGGGAAAGAAGGGTACATCTTTCAGAGCCACTCAGTCCCCCAATCATAGTGCCTGGCTGCGACCTCCCACTGGGCCCATCACAAGTCCTCATGGTTGGGGACGTCAGTGACCTGCAACAGGGTCAGGGAAGAACATCCTGGCCAGGAGTGAGCTAAGGAAGAGATGCACCACAGAGCCCTGGTAAATGCCTGGGAGTGAGAGCCTTACACTCACCATCTCTTTCCTCTCTGCCTGTTGTAGTTAAAAACCACGCTCTTGACTTGCTGATGCTTTGAGCTGCTTGTTGCGGGTGGAGGTGGCTTCCCACGGCTTCTTGCACAGTGTTGGCCCTGACCCACCGTCCCCCAGGCAGGGGGAGACTGCTGTGTTCAAGGGGAGTCCTGGGTGCATGCGGAACAGAATAGGGAGTCCCCACTGGGGCAGGCGCTGGCAGCTCTTCACCGTGTCAGCTCACTCAGCCCTCAGGTCGTCCTATCCTCAGGTGTGACCTGCAATGTACAGGTGCAGAAATGGAGAAGACCTGTGCTGAGTCCCAGAATGACACTGGGCCTGTGGAGGCTGCCAGGAGAGACACTGCCAGGTTCCCACGGCGGAGACACTGGCACTACAGCCCAGAGAGGAGGACACTTTATTAACTTGTCACATCGAGCAAAGGCACTGGTCTCTCCAGTCTCTTGCTGTGCCTTGAAAAGAGGAGAGAATGTGGAATCCGAGGCCTGGGCTGCAACTCTGGCTGCACCAGCTCCCCAGGCAAAGCGGTAACCTGAGATGGGCCACCTCCAAGCATCAGGAAGTGTGGGCAACCGTGGGGAAGAGAAAAATAACAATGCCTGCTGTCCTCACCTTCCAGGCTTGCTTTATGGGCAGAGGGGGTGACAAGTGTCATTCTTTCCTGGGGGCTGCAAACCATGATTCAGGGGTCATGTGCTGAACTGTGTCTCTGCAAAATACGCGCAGTCCTCACCCCTGGTCCCTCGGAATGTGACTGTATTTGAAGATAAGGTCTTCAAGGAGGCAATTAAGCCAGACTGGGGCCCTTAGGATGGGCCTGGTGTCCTTAGGAGAAAAGGAGAGGGCCCAGTGCAGTGGCTCACACCTATAATCCCAGCACTTTGGGAGGCCGAGGCAGGTGGATCACCTGAGGTCAGGAGTTCGAGACCAACCTGGCCAACATGGTGAAACCCTGTCTCTACTAAAAATACAAAAAAAAAAAAAAATTAGCTGGGCGTTATGGTGGGCGCCTATAATCCCAGCTACTTGGGAGGCTGAGGCTGGAGAATCGCTTGAACCCGGGAGGTGGAGGTTGCAGTGAGCTGAGATCATACCATTGCACTCCAGCCTGGGCAACAAGAGCGAAATTCCATCTCAAAAAAAAAAAAAAAAGAAAAGAAAAGAAAAGAAAAGGAGATGAGGATGCGGACACACACAGAGGGAAGACCACGTGAGGACACAGGGAGAAGACAGCCATCAACAAGCCAAAGAGAGTGGCCTCAGAGAAACCAACCCTGCCAACACCTTGTTCTTGGACTCCTAGCTGTCAAAATTATAAGCAAAATACATTTCTGTTGTTTAGGATCACAGACCAGTGCCTGATGCTGTGACTGCGTTGGGCTCCAGACACGGGCAGGAATTGAGAGAAGGGAGCAAAGGTATCCACTGGGGCAGTCAGGAAAGGCTTCGTGGAAGAGGCAGACTCAACTTTGGTTTTCTAATTTACAAAATGGGGATGACAACAATTCGGCTCTCAGAGCTGTCAGGAGGACAAAATGAGGGAATTCATATAAACCACTGCATACAGTACCTGGCTCCAGAGGATGCATTGGTGAATTTCAGCATAATTTCTACCATTATCATTATTGAAGGATGAGGAGATCTGGGGATGGGGAATGAAGTAGCATGGGAAAAGTCAGAAAATAGGGGAGTGGACAGTGAGGAACCCACTGTCCTAGGAAGGGCAGACTTCACATTGCCTGCCCCAGAGAGCGGAGAGAAAGGATGCGTTCGTTTATTGTGTGACATCAGGAGGGTAGTGTTGTTGCTATATTTTTTTTGTCACCTGAGAAGAACTTCTCCCCAAACCAGTTTTAAATACTCCTATCTGATCCATTTCCCTTGTGCCAGAGTCACTCATAAAAACTGTAAGATCTCAAGAAAGCAGTGAAAGATTCAGGCCAGGTCCTCCAATTAGCACAATTGTATGGGGGCAGATCTTCAGTGTCTCCATAGATCCTGTGTTGCAGGTGAAAGCCCTCATTTGGGATCCATCAGACCCATCAGTCTTTTTTTTTTTTTTTTTTTTTTTTTGAGACTGAGTCTCGCTCTGTTGCCCAGGCTGGAGTGCAGTGGTGCAGTCTCGGCTCACTGCAAGCTCCGCCTCCCGGGTTCACGCCATTCATCCTGCCTCAGCATCCCGAGTAACTGGGATTACAGGTGTGTGCCACCACGCCCGGCTAATTTTGTATTTTTAGTAGAGACAGGGTTTCACCATGTTGGCCAGGCTGGTTTCGAACTCCTGACCTCAACTGATCCACCCGCCTCAGCCTCCCAAACTGCTGGGATTACAGGCATGAGCCACCATGACCGGCCCCATCAGTCATTTTCTATGAGGGTCAGAGGCCATGCTTGTTGCAACCTTTTTTCTTTCTCTCTCTCACTCTTTTTTTTTTACTTGTTGCTTGACTGGCCCACTACCAATCTTCCTTCCTTCATTCCACAGTTATTGGTTAATGCTTTTCCTGCACTGGGCCTTTCATCTGTGCTGCGTACTGGGCAGGCAGCAGTGCACAAAGGACATAGCTCCTGTTTCCTGTGGCATTTGTCTTACTTCAGTGTGCAGAGGACTTTGTCTGCCTCCCGGCTACCTCCTCTGGCTGGGCTAATTCCTGTAGAAAGGGAAAGGGGAGCAGCAAGCCTGTCCTGGCCGCCCGTGCTCCCCAGGCTGCAGTGCTGCGTTGCTGAACCTGTGTTCTCTGAAGGTGAGGTTCGCCGTGGGCATCAGTGAGGGAGCCGCAAGAGGAGCTGTGAAAAACCTAACAGCAGGTCTGAGGTGGTTGCCACCAATAACACACAGGCTTTAATCCTGCTCTTATCTTAATAACCACGTTAACAAAAATTGCATTATGCACACTAATAATAGCCAGTGTGTAAAGAAAGGAGTGTAGCTTATGGTGAGGCCTCTTGCCAGGAACTGGCGGAAGGCTGAGAGCTTGCAGTCTGGAATGATTGTGATGCTGACATTGACTCTTGATCAGGGTCAGCAGACAGATCAAGTGAACCGTTACCCCCATTCCTGCACTTGTGGCAGGCAGCACTAATCAGCCATCACACTCATCCCTGTGGATCTCTTGATCTGTCTCAGGAAAGCCCCTACCTGCTGAAATTAGCATAGGAAAATCAAGCCTATTTAATGTCTCACCTGGATCCTAGCGGCTTTTATGCTGAACTAGGCCCAAGGTTTCGGAGCCCAGTTTCTTGAGAGATAGTCCTGGAGCTACTTTAATCAGACCCATTAGAGCCTGGGCAGCTGGTTTAAAATGCAGACTCCTGTGCTCTTCCCTAGAGCTAGGGAATCAGAATCTTTGGGGAATGTCAAAGACAACACTCAGGTGATTTCTTTGCAAATGTTGTAACCACTGCTTTAGGGAAGGCAATTCATACCAGGTGTTTTCTTTTGGGCCTGTGTGCTGGAGGGAGGACGAGGGTCAGAAGAACGACATCTTGAGTCCCTCTGTGCAGAGTTAATACTGAAAAAGACAATTGTTTTCAGGCAAAAGGTCCGTTTTGTGCAGCCTCATTGTCTGTTTTTGGGTGTAAGGGGCAGGATCGTGTAGGAGTCAAGATCATAGGCTCTGACAGCCTTCTGCCCAGGTTCGAATCCCAACCCCGCCATTCACTAGCTGTGATACCTTGGGAGGTTTCCTTGGTCCTTTCTGCCTTGGTCTTACCAGCTGTGACAATAAAAAATGTCTCTCGGCTGGGCACGGTGGCTCACGCCTTTAATCTGAGCACTTTGGGAGGTCAAGGCGGGCGGATCACAAGGTCAAGAGATTGAGACCATCCTGGCCAACATGGTGAAACCCCGTCTCTAAAAATACAAAAATTAGCTGGGTGTGGTGACACGTGCTTGTAGTCCCAGCTACTCGGGAGGCTGAGGCAGGAGAATCACTTGAACCTGGGAGGCGGAGGTTGCGGTGAGCCGAGATCGCGACTCTGCACTCCAGCCTGGTGACAGAGTGAGACTCCGTCTCAAAAAAAAAAAAAAAAGTCTCTAAATATGGTCAAGTGTGTCCAGGGGGAGAATTAAGAGTCAAGACTCCAATGAAGAGTCACTGAAGAAGTTTATAGCAGATCGAGTGCTCAATGGATCTCCATTTTGCCTAAGAATTTTTTTAGCAGTCATTTTGGCCAGAAATAAGGAAAAATGAATCGACCGTGTAAGCTATTAACTTTGGCATGTATTGGGTTCCTGAAAGTTAGAGAATAGATAATACAGCCTGTAAAGGCCTTTCCTTCTCAAAGATAACAGTAACACTGACAGAGCTGTTGGGTCAGGCTGGGTACTGTTCTGTGTGCTTAATATACAGTCATTAACAATTTAATCCTCACAGTAGTTTATGAGGTGGATACTGTGATTATTCCCATTGTACAGATGAGGAGACTAAGGCAGAAGAGACTAAGAACAACTCCCGAGGTTTTACAGCTAGTGAGTGGAAAGGTGGAGATTCTAATCTGGGCAGAAGGCGGTTGGAACCTGTGCTCTTAACCCCTACCTGCTCCTGCTCCTTATACCCACAGCAAAGAATACCTGACCACAAATGTCATTTGCACCACAGTAGAGAAACTGTGCTAGCTCAATAGGAGGCAGTCTTTTTTTTTTTTTTGAAACAGGGTCTTGCTCTGTTGCCCAGGCTGGAGTGCAATGGCACGATCACAGCTCACTGCAGGCTTGATCTCCTGAGCTCAAGCAATCTTCCTACCTAAGCCTCCCGAGCTGGGACTACAGGCACGCACCACTATCCCCAACTCATTTTTATTATTTTTTTGTAGAGCCGGGGTCTCACTTTGTTACCTGGGCTGATCTGGAACTCCTGGATTCAAGTGATCCACTTGCCTTGGCCTCCCCAAGTGCTAGGATTACAGTCATGAGCCACCATGCCTGGCCAAGAGGCAGTCTTTACAGTAGAAAAAACATGGGTTTACAGCAGCATGAGCCAGGGGTTTGCTTTCTCACTCTTCACATGTCAGCTGTGTGGGCTGAACAAGTTACCAAACCCTTGTAGACATTGTGTTACCATCAGAAAGCATGGAGATTGTAAAAGGAAATTAAATTTCGGGACCCCAAACTCACCGTGGCAATGCTAATTGATAGCTTATCTTTACAGGTGCAGTCACCCCGGCCTGCCAGACACAAATGCATATTTTGTGTGTGTTATCTAATATAAAGTGCAGATTCCCCACATTTTTCCTTTGCCCCTTTTAAGTGAAAACTGTGTGCTTCTCAATATCCCGCCCTTTCCCCTTTAAATTTGGAGACCTCAGAATCATCTTCAGAGAAAGGCATTGACCTGTCTTCTGGGTACGTCCTTAACTTTGGCAAATAAATCTCCAAAAATGATTGAGACTTGTCTCGTCATTTTCTTTGATTGACAAGGTTAATAAGACCTACTTTGAAGGGTTACTGTAAGTTATTTGAGATAATGTATATAAAATGCCAAATACAATGCCCAGCACGTGGTTACTGCTTGAGAAATATTAATTCCTCATTCTTTTCTTCAATGGAAACTATTTTCACTCTTCTTTTCAGCCTTCTGTGTCAGCAGGAAGATTCTTTGTGTGTTTAACCTGGCATCTTTGGTCTCATTTTTCAATTCGTTACTCATCTTTGTGGGGTTCTGCTGAATTCTGTCCAATTTTCTCAAGTCCTTCTGTTGTGGAACTAGACTCAGAGTCTCCAGAGCCGAGGAATGGGAGAATTATTGCAAAATTCCTACACTAACACTCCTATTGTATATATACCTGTGCTTTCTGAATGACAACCTTATCCTGCTGACACAGTGTCATCTGGCCCACCCTTTGGGCCTTTCACCTACTTGAAAACTTTTTTTATGTTTTATTTCAATAGTTTTTAGTGCACCCATCACCTGAGCAGTATACACTGTACCCAGTGTGCAGTCTTTTATCCCTCACCCCCTTCCACCCTTCCCTCTGAGTCCCCAAAGTCCATTATATTATTCTTAAGCCTTTTCGTCCTCATAGCTTAGCTCCCACTTATAAGTGAGAACATACAATATTTGGTTTTCCGTTCCTGAGTTATTTCACTTAGAATAATGGTCTCCGGCTCCATCCAAGTTGCTGCAAAAGACATTATTTCATTCCTTTTTATGGCTGAGTAGTATCTAATGGTGTATATATACCACATTTTCTGTATTCACTTGTTGGTTGATGGCATGTAGGTTGGTTCCATATCTTTGCAGTCGTGAATTGTGCTGCTATAAATGTGTGTGCATGTGCTTTTTCATATAATGACTTCTTTTCCTTTGGGTAGATGCCCAGTAGTGGGATTGCTGGATCCAATGGTAGATCTACTTTTAGATCTTTAAGGAATCACTAAACTGTTTTCCACAGCGGTTGCACTAATTTACATTCCCACCAGCAGTGTAACGGTGTCCCCTTTTCACCACATCCAATCTGTTGTTTTTGACTTTTTAATTATGGCCATTCTTGCAGGAGTAAGGTGGTATCTCGTGGTTTTAATTTGCATTTCCCTGATGATTAGTGAAGTTGAGCATTTTTTCATGTTTTGTTGGCTGTTTGTATATTTTCTTTTGAGGAATGTCTATTCATGTCCTTTGCCGACTTTTTGATGGGATTATTTGCTTTTTTCTTGCTGATTTGTTTGAGTTCCTTCTACATTCTGGATTCTAGTCCTTTGTCGGATGCATAGTTTGTGGATGTTTTCTCCCATTCTGTGGGTTGTCTGTTTACTCTGCTGATTATTTCTTTTGCCGTGCAGAAGCTTTTTAGTTTAATTAGCTCCCATGTATTTTTTTGTTTTTGTTGCATTTATTTTTGGGGTGTTAGTCATGAATTCTTTGCCTAAGCCAATGTCCAGAAGAGTTTTTACGACGTTATCTTCTAGAATTTTTATGGTTTCATCACCTGCCTTCTTTACATTTATTCATTCCTTCTTGTTCTACAAGTTCTTTGTCTCCCAGTTTTCATAACAAAGAATTATCACTGAAAATTAGTAACAAGGTAGAAATTTTAAAAAAGAATTCCAGGGACAAATTATAAACAAATAAGCGCAAGAAAAGTTACAGTTAAAAATAAAACAAAAAGACCCAGGGAGGCTTTTGGTAAGAAAAGGAGGGAACTAAATGAAGATAAAATTATACAGTAAGCTGAAGGGAAATTTTGGGTGTTAGGAATCAGCCTTCACAGTGCTTTGGAGAACGGGTGCAATGCACCTTGGAGAACCGTGCATTTGAGAACCTTGGTCACATGGCTTGATAGGACCACCAGTTCACCTCTTTGGATTCATGGCTGGTCTGCCCCTTGGGGTCCACAGTGTGAAGCCCTGAGGCCTGGCTCCCTGGCCTGAAGCAGCAGGAGAGGGAAGTCATCAGAGCCTGGGCTCTGGAATCAGATGGACCTTGATTTAATCCTGACTTCGCCATTTATTGCATTGAATGACCAAGGGCAAACTATCTCCTTCTTCAAGACTCCCACTTTCAAGGGTGGAGTTGTAAAATTGGTGGTAATAATAATACCTCTCATAGGAGAGTTATAAAGTAATGCATATAAAACATTGAACACAGCACTGGATGCATTGTAAGCACTCAATACATTTTACTGTATTGATAATGAGGATGATAATGATGATAATGATGATAACATGATTGCCTACTTCTAAATGTCTGCTCTGACTGTCTTGTCTATTTATATGTATGAATATACATGACTGTATGCCCATGAAAAGCTAAAATACATATGCATGTACATGTACCCACATATGTGTATGTGTATATATGTGTGTATATACACATGTATGTATTATAGCTTTTCATGTACATGTAGTTGTGTCCTGCACACAGCTGGTTTGTGTGCATCTCGTCTCTTCCCAGCCTTCAGCTCAGTTACATCATATTGGTAGTTGGCCATGGTGGGAATATTCTATAGCATGGAAATTGGCAAACCTATACACATCAAGGGCTTTTCCCCCTCAGAGAGCCAATTTATCAGCATACCACTGTGTATATACCTTGCATCTCCAGTTAGATTCTGAATTCCTTTAGGACTCAGGATGTTCTGTTTTCACCCTTTGATCCCCACAGGGCTTTGCGTGTGTCTTTTGTGCAGTAGGCTTCAAAGGGTGGCATGAGTCAATAGTACGGAGGGTGAGTGGATAAAAGCAAGGGAACGGATATAGCACAAGTGCACTTAATAAAAGGGAAGGAAGAAGTTGTTTCAGAAAAACTGGTAGATGAGTAGCCAGGAATGGAGAGAAGGAGTGAGGAGAGGGAGTTCTTAGATGGGTAAAATGGTTTGGTGACAGAAAAGGACTTAGAAATATAAAGTCCAGAAAGAAAACGAAATTCAGAATAAGAGTCCATTTCCTATGATTTCAGACTGCTGCTGGTAGTGTATTTCTTGAGTTCCAGTCTTTTAGATGAGTGGCATTTGTTTCAGATGTTGAGATAATTAAAGAATTGTTTACAGGAGAAAAAATTGGACTCAATCTAGTGTTCAAGAATAGAGGGTTGGCAAAATAAGTAGGATACGTTCATTTTATAGAATACTTTTGGGTCAAAAAACATGATGGAAAATTCCAGTAAAGTACAGTGAGAATAATGACAAGAAGCATGGAAAGCTGGAAGAATGGTATAATAATGTGCAGAAGAAAAGGCAGGTTAAAAGTGGCAGCTATAATCTCACTTTTATATAAACACATGTGCGGAGAAAAATATCTGGAAGGGTATACATTAAAACACTAAAGGTAGTTGTTTCTGAATAGGGTGACTTTTTTTTTCCTCCACTATTTGCTTATGGACATTTTCTCTTTTTTTTTTCTATTTCAAATACATTTTTATTTATTTTTTATTTTTATTTTTCCCCCTAGAGATGGGTCTCTAGAGAAATGCATTGCCCAGGCTGGTCTTGAACTTCTGGGCTCAAGCCATACCCCCTTCCCTCAGCCTCCCAAAGTGCTGAGATTATAGGCATGAGCCACCGTACCTGGCCTAAAATACATTTTAATTAAAAAAATTAAAATGTGTTTTCCACATTAGTCTCTTTCTGTCTTTATCTCTGTCTGTCTTTGTCTCTATATATTGTCTTTACTGATAGCACTGAATTTTAAGATCACAGCTGCTTTAAGATTAACAAAGTGATTAAGACCTGTGGGCTAAGAAACGGTTTTCTTTGACTTGCAAATGTATCCAGATGAAAAGTCTTCTCAGTGTAACAAATCGCTGTAATAATCCTTGAACACTTGGCAAATGCCTTTGATTGAGAAAAGCCAGTTACATGAACTGGGGCTGACCTGAAGAATTACGGAGTCTGCATCTGGGGTGCGGGGCAGGTGTGCAGTGTCTAACAGCGACTCTGCAGGGCAGCTGGGGACACAGAGGCCTCCCAGAATGATAGGGCGGTTCCAAATGCACCAGCCTCCCAGAAACGTGGCCCTGGCGATCTAAAGACCTTCAGATCCCAGGACGGCCCTACCAGATTCAGTGTCTAATGAATGGCAGGTGTTAGGAGGCAGGCAGGGGTTTCCTGTGGCAAATCCTGATTCACAGCTGGAAGATGGATTTCTGCCCTCAGGAAAGCGGTTTAGTGGGAGGTGGTGAGAGTTAGCTGAAATTTCCAATAAAATGCAGTCAGGGCAGTGAGCTAGTGGGCACAGGAGAGCCTCAGTCAGTGGCTCAATTATCTTCTAGTAGAACAATGGAAGAATTGGCAATTTTCTTCATATTTCATTTTCCTGACATGCAGGATGGTGAAGTGGCGAAGAGCCTGACTCTGGAAATAGCGAGAAGGGGTTTAAGCTCTGGCTCTGTGTGCATCTCGGGTAGGTTACCTAAGTACTCTATATCTCAGTTTATCAGCCCGGGAAATGGACGTAGAGTCCCTGCCTCATGGAATTACTGTGATAATTAAATGAGGTATATCCGCGAGGCATTTAGAGCAGTACCTGGCGCTCGGGGAGGTGCTATGGAAATGCTCCGTGAATTGTGATTCCTCGGTTTTTGAACTTCTTTCTTCTCCCTCCTCTCCTTCCCCTTACCTTCCTCTGCTCCTTTTCCTCCTCCTCCTTCTACTCTTCTCTGCCCCTCTCACCCTCCCCACACACAGATTCCATGATCGATGAATTCCTGCATTCCTGCATTAATTTCTCTGAGAGTCTTTTCCTTTTGACACTGGTGCTGAGAGGGACAGGTTGCTTCTTCTCACACTGATTGACTAAGTGAATTTTTATTTTCCTGAGCACCTTCTATTTTATTTTATTTATTTATTTATTTTTGAGACGGAGTCTCGCTCTGTCGCCCAGGCTGGAGTGCAGTGGCCCAATCTCGGCTCACTGCAACCTCCGCCTCCCGGGTTCACGCCATTCTCCTGCCTCAGCCTCCGGAGTAGCTGGGACTACAGGTGCCCGTCACCACGCCTGGCTAATTTTTTTGTATTTTTAGTAGAGACGGGGTTTCACTGTGTTAGCCAGGATGGTCTCGATCTCCTGACCTCGTGGTCCGCCCGCCTCTGCCTCCCAAAGTGCTGGGATTACAGGCGTGAGCCACCGCGCCCGGCCTTTCCTGAGCACCTTCTCTGTGCTAGGCATGAGGCTGAGCAGGTTACCTACATTATTTCATTGTATTACATTATTATCCCAACCTCAGAAAGGTTCTGTGATCCACTGAAGGTCCAGCATCGATCTAGCTCCAGCCAGCTGCAGTGAGGATGAAAGCTGGCATTACACAGTTCTCCGAGGGACAGATTACCTTCTTGTACCTTGTGGATCAAAGCCAAGGACTTTTTCCCAGAGCCCCCCAGCAATGGCATAGCTGTGAGCATCCTGTCAAGCCAATGTTAATTAGCTACAGCTCTTAAGAATTCACTAGCACATAAAGTCAAGAAAAAGTCCTTCTACATCAGAAAAGCATCTTTTGTTATATTTTTTAAATTGTGGTTAAAACCATATATCATAAATGTTACCATCTTAACATTTCTTAACCATTTTTAAGTATACAGTTCAGTAGCGTTTAGTATATCTGCACTGCTATCAAAGAGATCTCCAGAACTATCTCATCTTGTAGAACTCAAATTCTGTACCTGGCCGAGCGCGGTGGCTCACGCCTGTAATCCCAGCACTTTGTGAGGCTGAGGCGGGTGGATCACTTGAGGTCAGGAGGTTGAGACCAGCCTGGCCAACATGGTGAAACCCCGTCTCTACTAAAAATACACAAGTTAGCCGAGTGTAGTGGTGGGTGCCTGTAATCCCAGCTACTCAGGAGACTGAAGCAGAAGAATTGCTTGAACCCGGGAGGCGGCGGTCACAGTGAGTTGAGATCACGCCACTGCACTCCAGCGGTCTTAAAAAAAAAAAAAATCTGTACCCATTGGACAACAGCTCCTTTTTGTCCTCTCTCCCCCAGCCACCATTCGACTTTCTCTGTCTAGGAATCTGACTGCTTTAGAGGCTTTATATAGGTGGAATCATATAGAATTTGTCCTTTTGTGACGAACTTATTAACTTACCATAATGTCCTCAGTTCATCCAGGTTGTAGCATATAATGAGATTTTCTTCCTTTTTAAGGAAGTATTCCATTGTGTGTAATACCACATTTTGTTTATGTATTTATACATTGACAGATGTTTTGGTTGCTTCCATCTCTTGTCTCTTGTGAACAGTGCCGCTATGAACATGGGTATACAAATATCCCTTTGAGACCCTGCTTTCAATTCCTTTGGGTATATACCCAGGAGTGGGATTGCTGGATCATATGGTAGTTCTATTTTTAATTTTTTGAGGAACCTCTGTACTGTCCACAGCAGCTGCACTATTTTATAATCCCACCAACGGTACACAAGAGTCCCAACTTTTCCACACCACCACAAACACTTTTTTTTATAGTAGCCATCCTAATGGGTGTGAGGCAATATCTCATCATGGTTTTGATTTGCATTTCTCTGATGATTAGTGGTGTTGAGCATCTTTTCATATGCTTGTTGGCCATTTGTATATCACCTTTGGAAAAACGTCTATTCAAGTCCTTTGTTTAAATTGGGTTATTTGATTTTTTATGTTGAGTTGTAGGAATTCTTTATGTGTTATAATTTTTTTTTTTTTTGAGACGGAGTCTCGCTGTGTTGCCCAGGCTGGAGTGCAGTGGCATAATCTTGGCTCACTGCAAACTCTGACTCCTGGGTTCACGCCATTCTCCTGCCTCAGCCTCCTGAGTAGCTGGGACTACAGGTGCCCGCCACCACGCCCAGCTAATTTTTGTATTTTTAGTAGAGACGGGGTTTCACCTTGTTAGCCAGGATGGTCTCCATCTCTTGACCTCATGATCTGCCTGCCTCAGCCTCCCAAAGTGCTAGGATTACAGGCATGAGCCACTGCGCCTGGGTTTTTTTTTTTTTTTTTGAGATGGGGTCTCGCTCTGTCGCCAGGTTGGAGTGTAGTGGCACGATCTCGGCTCACTGCAACCTCCGCTTCCCGGGTTCAAGTGATTCCCCTGCCTCAGCCTCCTGAGTAGCTGGGACTACAGGTGCGCACCATCACACCTGGCTAATTTTTTGTATTTTAGTAGAGACGAGGTTTCTCCATGTTGGCCAGGGTGGTCTCGATTTCCTGACCTCGTGATCTGCCTGCCTCAGCCTCCCAAAGTCCTGGGATTACAGGCGTGAGCGCCTGGCATATTCTAACTATTAATCTGTTATCATCTATGTGATTTGTAAATATTTTCTCCCATTTCATTATTTTGATTATGTCTTTTGATGAACAGTTTTTCAGTTTGAAGCAGTCTCTGTTCTCTGTTTTTGCTTTTGTTGAATTTTGTTGTCTGTGCTCTTGATGTCTTAACCAAGAAATTATTGACAAATCCAAAAAATCATAAAGCTTTTCCTTTGATATTGATTTAAAAATGTTTATACCAATATATGTGTCACTGGAACAATCTTACCAACGGTAACTCCATGTAGGTAAAAGATTGTTAGCTAAGTGGGGACGAATGTCTGTGTGGGAGAGTCACGGAGCAGTGCGTGTTGGGGGAATGGGCTTACACCCTGGGGATACATAAGGACTGATTTGGGACATAGAGATTAAATATAGTGGATCCACAATTCCTGATGAATTTATTAATGTTATTGACAGTTATTTGGAGAATGAGGGGGTGCACAGTCTTGGAAAAAGGACACATCATAAAGCATGCAGCCTCTCTTATCTCTCCTTTCCTTTCTTCTTCCTTCTGCTCTGTGTGAAGTAGCATCTTTTCCTGCCCACTTTTAGATCCCAGAAGCTCAGCTCTGTTTTGGCAAAGTTTCTTCACATTTTCTCAAAGTAAGTGAATCTCTCCCCACAAAAATTCTTCTACTAGCTACAAAAAGACAAAAGGAGGTATAGTGATTGGTGTGTTTTTATAAGACTCAAGATTATATAAAGTATTTTTATATTTATCATTTTAATCAACTATCAGGTTTTTTTTAAAGACCAAAATACCCTATATTCAGACATGTGTTTTGCTCAAGGGCACATTCTCACACTTGACCCTGGGCATGCATATACGGATATCTTTCTGGAAGTGGTCTTGCTGGGTCGAAGAGCACGTACATTTTAAATTTTGATGGACTCAGCCAAAACGCCTTCCCCAAAGGCTACACCAATTTTCACTCCTACATTCAACATACCAGGGTCCTAATTTTAGCATACTTTGGCAACACCGACTTTAATTTTTGCTGATTTGATGGATTAAAAATACCCCACCATTTACAGTAATATTTCTCCATTTAGTAGGGTGGTTGATCATCTTTTTGTATATTTATTTTCCATTCTTATTTATTTTCATTTTTTGAATATTTGTTTATATTCTGTGGTCATTTTTCTATTGATGTGTTAAATCAATATATCCTGATGCGCCATTTAATTCCCTTGTCTCTTTCACTACGTATTTTTTAGGTTATTTTCTTAGTGGTTGCTCTGTGCTTATCATTAACATTTTAATTTATAACAATATAGTTCAGATTAATACCAACTTAATCTCATTTGTGTGTATGCTCTGAGATATTTCCATTCCTTCTTCCTTCTTTATGCTGTTATTATTACAAATTACATACACTATGTGCTCAACATAGCACATTTATAATCATCTTGTTTTCCAGCTTTATTAAGGCATAATTGACAGATACAAATTATATATTTAAAGTGTACAATGTGATGTTTTACAATACATATATATTGTGAAATGATTACTACAATCAAGCTAATTTACGTATTCATCATCTAACGTAGTTACCTTTTTGTGTGTGTGAGCATACTTAAGATCTCTCTTACCAAATTTGTATTTATTTATTAACTTTTATTTTCAGTTCAGGGGTACATGTGCAGGTTTGTGATATAGGTAAACTCATGTCATGGTGGTCTTTTGTACACATTATTTCATTACCCAGGTATTAAGCCTAGTATCCATTAGTTATTTTTCCTGATCCTCTCCCTCCTCCCACCCTCCACCCTCCAGGAGGCCCCAGTGTGATCGTTTCCCCCACCGTGTGTCCATGTGTTCTCATCAGCCAGATAGATAGAGAAATACTGCATGATCTCACTTATATGTGGAATCTAGAAGAGTTGAAGTCATAGGAGCACAGAGTAGAGTGGTGGTTATCACGGGACAGGGTGTCGGGGGAAATGGGGAGATGCTGGTCAAAGGGCACAAACTTCCAGTTATGAGATGAATACATTCTGGAGATCAAATGCACAGCACAGTGACTATAGTTAATAATAATGTACCGTATAATCACTTTTAAAATAAACTTTTTGTATACCTTTATAATTTATAAACTTTTTGTTAGGGACTGAATGTTTGTGTCTCCCTGCCCCCATTCGTATGTTGAAGTTCTAATCCCCTGTATTTGGAGGTAGAGCCTGTGAGGAAGTGATAAAGGTTAAATGAGGTCAAAAGTGTAGAGATGTAATTTAATGGTGCTGGTGCCCTTTTGAGAAGAGGAAGAAACTCCAGCACTCTGTCTTGCAGCCACGTGAGGATAAAATAAGGAGGTGCCATCTGCAATCTAGGAAGAGAGTCCTTTCCAGAAACTGCATCAGCTGGTACCTTGATCTTGAACTTCCCAGTACCCAGAACTGGGAAAAATAGATTTCTGTTGTTTACGCCATCCAGTCTGTGGTATTTTGTTGTGGCAGCTTGAACAGACTAATACACTTTTTATACACTTTTATAAACTTTCTGCATACTTTTATAATTTATAAAAATGTTTATAATGACCACTTTATCTAGTTGTGTGTGTGTTTTTTGTTTTGTTTTGTTTTGTTTTGTTTTTTTGAGATGGAGTCTCGCTCTGTTGCCAGGCTGGAGTGCAGTGGTGAGATCTCGGCTCACTGCAACCTGCACCTCCCAGGTTCAAGCGATTCTCCTGCCTCAGCCTCCTGAGTAGCTGGGACTACAGGCGCCTGCCACCACGCCTGGCTAATTTTTTTGTATTTTTAATAGAGACGGGGTTTCACCATGTTGGCCAGGATGGTCTCAATCTCTTGACCTCGTGATCTGCCCGCCTCAGCCTCCCAAAGTGCTGGGATTACAGGCGTGAGCCACCTCACCGGGCCTCTAGTTGTGTTTTAAATCAGATAGGAGCCAAAATGACTCACAAACAAAAACTAAATGTACATTGTCTTTTGTATTTACTTATTGACTTATGTCATTATCTTTATAAGTGCTCTTTATTTCTTCACATGTATCTGCATTACTGTCTAATGCTCTTTCATTTCTGCCTTTGGGGCACTCTTTATTTATCTTAGGGCAGGCCTGCTAGTGACATGTGTACTGGGAGCACACTTCAATCCTTAGACAGGCAGTTTGCAACTCTGCCTTAGCCCTCACCTTCTGTTTGTGCAGAGCCTCAGGGTCGTCCATATGTGAGAGCTTAGAGACTTCTCAGATCTTTACTGAACACGTGCATATCCCCCGGCATGCACATGGCCCTATGCACACATGTGGCCTCTTAGCTTCTCAGGAATGACAGACATTTCCAAAGCCCCATTGATACCTGACTCCTGGCTTTTTCTTCTTCTTTTTTTTTTTTTTTTTTTGGTTCCTGGTTGTTGTTTGTCCTAACTGATATCACTGCCTCAGGCAGCTGCAATGTTACACAATTGCTGCTGATTGTTTTGGATAGAAGCTTAGGGAAACGCTGTTCGTACTGAGCAAGCTCTGAGGCAGGTCAAATAAAGACAAATGCTGGTGGTGGGATTTTCCAGGAAAATGCCAGATATGACAAATTATGACACTTCTCTGAAGGGGATTCTGGAGAACATTCAACCTCATTTTATCTCTTGGAGTGGCTGTTAGGCTGCTGGTTTTCAGGGCTGTTTGCAGGACTGTCTGGAGGACTGTCAATTTTCAAAGCTACTATGGGGCTAGAGAGAAGGAGTCAGGAAGTTAAAATGCCACAAAGCTTGCTGTTCTTACTGAGACTCAGCCATTTTCTTGAATAAATGCCTCATGGATTTCCGCAACTGCTGGTTAACTTCCACAGTTCTGAAAATGCTGATTTTGACCATTTCTACCAGCATTTTTATTTCTTTAATGGAGGAGAAGACTTTCAGAGGTCCTTACTCCACTATTTCCACTGATGTCATGCCTTGTTGATTAAGAATATATATATATATACATTTTTTTTTGAGGTGGTCTCCCTCTTTTGCCCAGGCTGGAGTGTAGTGGCACAATTTTGGCTCATCACAACCTCCAACTCCCGGGTTCAAGTGATTTTCCTACCTCCACCTCCCAAGTAGCTGGGATTACAGGTGCCCACTACCACACCTGGATAATTTTTGTATTTTTAGTAGAGGCAGGGTTTCACCATGTTGGCCAGGCTGGTCTCCAACTCCCAACCTCAAGTAATCAGCCCATCTCGGTCTCCCAAAGTGCTGGGATTATAGGCGTGAGCCACCATGCCTGGCCTTGTTAATTAAATATTAAGTTTGTGTGTGTGTGTGTGTGTGTGTATGAATGAGTGATACACACACCCAGGCACACACAATACACATGCACACACACACTCAGAAATTTTTCTCTAAGAAATACCTTAGCTATGTTTCTACATACTTTCATATGTTGTCTTTATTATTATTTATTTATAAATAACATAATTTTCTTATCTTTTCTTCTTTGACTTTAGCACACTATTACTTTTCCTCCTCAGCTTTTATCCCCTTACATGCTATAATTATCGGGGGTTTATTTCTTCTTCTTTTCCTCCTCCTCCTTCTTCTCCTCTCCATCTTCCTTCTTTTTCCTTTTTTTTTCCTTCTCCTTTTAGCATTATATTACAGTATTTATTTAGACTAAATTATGTTTTATTCATTGATTTGTTAACCATTATTTCTCAAATCCCACACCCTTCTGTTTTGGAATTAATTAATTAATTTATAGAATTCTTGACTCATTCTCCAGTGAGAGTCTGGATGCAAACATTTTGAGTACTTAATGATTAAAAATGTCTTCATTTTATAGTTGTTGTTTTTGCTGCATATAGTATTCTAGGTTCAAAATAATTTTCTCTGTGACTTTGGTGCTTTTTTCTAAAATCCAGTCTGGTTTCTCTTCAGAATGAATAAATCTTTTGCCTTTTAAAATCCAGTATTGCTGAAGAAGAGTTTTATTTCTATGTATTTCTTATTTCTTAAAGATGAGGCTCTTTTCTTTCTGGAAAAGAAAGAAAGTTCTTAGAATATCTTAGGTGTACTAAAATTTCATCAAGCATATGGCTCCATTAATTAGTAGCTGTCTATACTTGGGCAAGTGATTTTAGTCTCTCTAAACAGTTTTCTCATCTGTACCGTGGGAGAAATTATGAGTTGGGAACTCACAGGGTTGCTACAAAGATGAAAATACATACTGCATGTAAACCATTTAGCTCAGTGTCTTGCTCTGAAACAGTTCAGCTTTACTATTATTGTATTATCTACTCAGTAGGCTATTTTAATCTGAATGCTGTTTCTTCCATTGACCATTCCCCTCCTCCCCCATTAGTTCTTTTGTTTTTCTCCCTTTTCACCATTTTCTCTGTTTTCTCCTCCCAATGGATGGAAGTTAGATTTTTGGATACGTTCTTCAAATATGTTTTCTTTCTTATTTAAAACCTGTCTCTTTTACCTACATACTAAGAGATTTTGTTTTTATTCTCTTCCTTCACATTATTGATTTTCCTCAAATATCTAGGGACCCCATTAGCTTTCTGCATGCCAGGAATTTCTTATGATATCTGCCCTATGGCTGGTATGCCTTCCTGTTGTCCAGAGCTTTTATGAAGTTATACTTAAAACAATAACAACAGCAAAACAAGAAAACTCTTGTTTGTCACTTTAAGTGGTATGGATAAGATTATAAACAGTAACGCATCTTAAACCATCATCTCGATCCTCTAACTTGCTCTTTTTTTCTCCTCTCAAGATAGTTTCAAGGTAGCTTTGTTTTTGTATAGATGCCGAAATCCATGATCTCTATAGCCATTTTGGAAGATTGAAAGAAATACAAGTAAGGAAATAAACAATGCCACTATTCCCACCACCATTCTAGAGATATCATTAATATGTTCTTGTTTCTCTTTTTAGTTATTTTATGCATATGAAAAAATAGAATCCTATTGTACATTGACTCTTGTAGCATGTTGTGTTTATATTCATAGAATGTGAACATATTTGCATGTTATTAATATTCTAAATATTTTTTAGTAAATGTATAAGATTGCATGTATATACCAAAATTTATTGACTCAATTCCCTCATTGGTGAACATTTCCATTCTTTAGTGCAGCAGTGAGCATCATAACAGGTACATCTTTGCTCATGTCTGTGGTTGTGTCTTTAGAATACATGAGGGAAGGGTTTTGCAGAGACCATTCCCTCCATAATTCCAAACAGGTGTCCAGAGAAGTTACACCAGCAAAGACGGCTGTGATTTAATGTGAAAATTCCTTTGCTTTGGGTGATGGATATGAATAAGGAACACAACCTCGTTGAATGTAATGCTTCCCAAAGCTAGCCAATCATCAATTATCTAGGGGTACTTATTTAAATCACAGATTCTTGGACCCACGCTTGGAAATGCTGATTCATTAGGTCTAGTGCTGGGCCCAGGAATTTATATTTTTAATAAGCTCCTAGGTGATTTTAATGGTTAACCAAGGTTAGGAAACAGGATCTAGCAACTGCAGAGCCTGGGCACGGGGGCTGAGGGTAGGAGGGACAGATGCCGGGTCCCTGGTGTTTCTCAGTAAGAAAGGTGGTGATGGTGAGAACAGAAAAGGGACATTCTGAAAGTAGGACTGACCATGTTGGAGACTGTTTTGAAGTGAAGAGCAAAGGTATGAGCTCCAATGAGTACTTAAGGTTTGGAGCACAAGAGAGAGACTTGGTTGATTGTGGTGGCATCAGCTGTTTGGAAGGAGAAGATAGCTTTGCCCAGGAATTGAAACCTGGATTTCAGTGGGCTCTGTAGTGTGTACCACGTGAGACTGGGAAGTTCCCTTTCCTTCTCTGGGTCCTCAGCGTTCGTGTAATCTGAAGGCGTTGGACAATATCAGGGACTTTTCAAGCTGTGGGAGCCCAAAGCCACTATGGTGGAGGGGTGACTGAGAAGGTGAAAATCCTTCTATGCTCACTCTTACCCTCCTTCAGAGACCCCAAATTTATTTGCTTTAAATTAGAGCCCTGTGTAAGATTGTGTCTGCAATTTTTTTTTGCTGCTGCCAGAAAGTTTGAAAATCTCCAGACTAGATGACCTTTCTGTTCTAAAAAGCCATATTATTT
Organism: Homo sapiens; assembly: GCF_000001405.40. Classification (NCBI taxonomy): domain Eukaryota; kingdom Metazoa; phylum Chordata; class Mammalia; order Primates; family Hominidae; genus Homo; species Homo sapiens. The sequence continues at coordinate 93,200,141 of NC_000015.10, forward strand.
TGTGAACCAAGACCGTGGGGAGGAAGAACAGGGAACTGAATGGATCAGAGGGGCCATCCGGAATGAACATTTCAGGCCTCATTTGAATTTGAAGGCTGACCCGTTGGGTTATGGCAGTAGCTCTCAATTTCCATCTCAGAATCAGTGTATTGCCTGAGTCAACTCAGAGTGACCTCCAAGGAGAATTCTAGTTGACTTCTCATCAGATGCTTATATTTGACTTACTGGGGGAAGGCCCTCACTTCACAGGACCCCCAAAGTCCAGAGAGATGATGCTGGTTCATATGTTAACACTTTGGTCATGTCTTGCTGTTTAAGTATTTCAACAATAGAGTATGTGTGACCTTCTTTCAGCCTCCTTTCAAGCTGGGAATTTAAGGTGTTCTGTGGAATGTTATGCAAACAAGCCTTTGGCTTTGATCTCTGAGAATTCTTAGGAGTAAGAAGGGAGAAGATGAGCTGGGGGCCTGGAGGGATTAACTGTGAAAACCTGGCCAGGCTTTGTTGGACAGGGAAGCTGGGGTGGAGTGTGGGGTGTCTGGGGAACAGATGTGAGCCTGACTTGATCTTCTGCAGCTGCAGACAGAGGTTTGCCAGAGGTGACTGCGAGTTCCCGTGGCGGCCAAAAGTCCTCTTGGGGTAGTCCACCAGTGGTCTCTTCTCTGACTGGAGCTGGAGTTAGTGTAGGATTTTTGCAATTTGATTCCAGCAACCATGTAACAGGTTGGATGGAGAAAGGATTTCTTTTGACAAGCCAGGGATTTGATGGGTCTTATCTCTGTGTTATTATATTCATTTCTAAACATTCCAGAGAGGTGATGGAGGAACAAAGCCTGCCTTTCTCAGTAATCTTTTATTACTTTGTGATCCCGATGAAAATGATGGGCAGGGCAGGGTAGGGCAGGGTCAGAAAAACTGTCTCCCCTAGAGCAGCGTGTCCCCGAGTTTGTTACAGGGAATACTAGTCCCGAGAGATGCTTCAGATGATTTCATGATCAAGTAGGTTTAGAAATTCTGCACTTGGTGTTTTCCTCTGGATATTCCCAATGCAGATTCAAACACTAAAGGCTCTGAACTATCCTATAGTCAAGAATTCTCTGAATTTATTGCACTGAAAATTTCTCAGTTGGCCAGAGAATTACAATCATTTTAGGTGGAGAAGAGGCACCCTTTGATATCAAATAGATGGAACTTCAAGAAGGGCTGGCCTCCAGGTTGGGAAATCAAGGCATCCATGATGTGCTCACAGAGTGGCGTTCCTGAAGCTATTCCTTTCCTCTCTGGTGGCCTCAACAACTTGGGAATTTTTCCTTAGCAACCCACTCTCTGAGTTATTCCAGATAGAGTAGCTCTGCTTGCGATTTCATTTGAAGAACAAGACCAATAGCTGAAAAGAGCTTGAGTCAAATTCCCACACAGAGGGAAAAACATTCAGAACTTAGAATGAAACTTTTACTAATTTATTTTTTATTTATTTTTTGAGATAAGGTCTCGCTCTGTCTCCCAGGCTGGAGTGTAGTGGCTTGATCACAGCTCACTGCAGCCTTGACCTCCCAGGCTCAAGAGATCCTCCCACTTCAGCCTCCTGAATAGGTAGGACTACAGGCTTGCACCACCATGCCCGGATAATTTTTAGGTTTTTGGTAGTCATGTTGCCCAGGCTGGTCTCGAACTCCTGGATCAAGCAATCCACCTGCCTTAGCCTCCCCAGGTTCTGGGATTACAGGCCAAATGAGGCTATTTTTAATGCCAGCTTCATATTTCCTCTCTATTATTCCGAAGGAACCAGAGGTGGCCAGAATGTAGCATCCTTTTGGCCAAAGTAAATATTTCAGGGACAGATAGCTGACCCATAAACAAATCATGCTCAAATAGAGCTTATCTCACGACTTGAGGCCCAAGAATTTACAAATAGGTATTGTCTTTTGCACTGGACTTGGAGTGGTGGGGATGTGAGCCTGTTGACACCCTTTCCCCATAAGAGAGAGCCTGATAAAGGAATGAGCCAAGACGTGGAGAAATATCGGGCCTTGATGTGTCATTTGAGTGCCTGGATCCAGCCAAGCTTGGCATCTAGGCTGTTTGGTTATGCCAATTTGAGTTTTCTGTCTAAGTGTTTTTACCAGTATACTTTTCGTGAGAGACTTTTTCTTGGAGCTAAATGTCTGAGATAACAAGAATTCACTTAAACACCCCTTCCCACCTTGCTCCACCCCTAAAACCAGAGCAAGCACTATTAAATAAATTATGACAGTCACCATTGTTATATACTTTAAAATAGTAATTTACTCTCTTTTGTCCTAGAAGATACTTGGAAGTTTGTCTAGTACAAAGCTCCATCTGATCCTTCAGGTACCTCTACAGAATGTCCACCAGGAAGTTTTCTGGCTTCTGCTTAAATTGTCCTCAGGACCAGACAGCTCAGGAATGCTTGAGGAAACATGTGCTATTTCCAGGCAGCTTTAATCAGGCTGATTGGCATCTGCCCGCCTGTCATTTTGCCTTTTGGTCCTGGGCTAACTGCAGACCAAATCTAATCCCTCCTCCATAGGACTGACTTTCGGATTGTTGAAAATAGCTAAGCCTCCTCTCTCACACACCAGAAAAATGTCCCCAGCTCTTGCAGTGGGGCCAGTGTTGGTTTTCTTCACGGCCCTACCATGAGCATACTATAATGGGTTGTGAATTTATTTCAACACGGGTGGCTTTCATCTGTGATTCCAAAAGTACTATACGTCCATCATAGACTATGCAGAAAGGTAAGAAGAGGAAAACAAAAATTCACCTGTGAGTAAGCGGCCAAGACATGAGCCCCTTTGACCTTCTGATGGCTCTTCCTCCATTAGTTTTATGCATGTGGCACACATGTGGTTGTGCTGGTGTTGTGTCCCCTTCTTCTCTCTGCCCAAGAGGTTGGGCTACAGTGGGCCACACTTGCACAGGGGCTTCTGTGTCCCTGGGTTTCTGCTGGGTTTAGACAGTGAGGTGCTCAGGGCACAGATCTAACAGAGGAGAGAGGTCAAGTTGTTTATGTCCCTGATTCCTCCCTGTGGAGTTGCCTGGGGCTGATTTGTCCCTCTCAGGGCAGCCTACTTAACACTTCTCTGTTGTGCCTGCAGTGGCTTCTGCCCTGGGCCCTTTGCTACTTACTAGCTTTGAGCTCCTGTGCTGGCCTTTTAGTTCCCTGCTCCTACCCCTTTGTCAATGACCCATCCTCCCGTTGTCCTAGTTGAGTGCTGTTTCCAGTAGGAACTTAAAACTGATATGATTGTATTTTGCAAATAAGAAACAGACTCTGCACACTGACATATAACCTGCTAGGTCATTTCTTGGGATATGGAAAACCTCTTTTCATGTTGTTAAATATTCCTCTACAACGTGATGAATGGCTAAGTAGGTTTTAGATATATTTTAAAACAAATGTACCAGAGTTTATTTCAACTTTGAGGAAGTTAGTTTTTCCTCCCAATTTACTTTCTTCTTATGACTTTGAAAGTACTTTGGTGAATATCCTTGTCAGTAAATCTTTGCACATGTTCATGTTTATTTCCTTAGGATAAATCTGCGGAAGTAAAATCTCTAGATCAATAGAAATGAACATCTGAGAAACTTTTGCTGTATGTTGCCAGATTACCCTCCAAAATTTTTAAAATAATTGACGCTGCTTCCAACTACCTGTAGGAAGATTTGTTTTCCGACACTTTCTCCAACATTTATTTAATGTTATAATAAAATAATACCGTGTTTGCTTTGTAATAGGTGCTCTCCATTCCTTTGAAGATGAAGTCCCTAGGAGTGAACAGACTCCAGGATAGAAAGGAACAGACTCCATCACCTTCTTTTTTCTGAGCATAATACCTTCATTTATATAGCCTGAGATAGTCACTGTGGTAGGCTGAACAATGTCCCCTCCAAAATGTCCACGTTCTAATCCCTGGAACCTGTGAATATGATACTTTTCACATAGTAAAAGGGACTTTGCTGATATGATTAAGTTAGAAATCGTATGGGGAAATTATCCTGGATTAGCTAGATGGGCCCGGTGTAATCACAGTGGTCCTTATAAGAAAGAAAAAGGTTCTGTGACGATGGAAGCACAGAGAGAGAGAGAGAGAGAGAGAGAGAGACAGACAGACAGACAGAGAGAGAGAGACAGAGAGAGAGAGAGACAGAGATAGAGAGAGACAGAGAGAGAGACTAGAAGATGCTATGCTGTTGGCTTTGAAGATGGAGGAAGGTGTGTATGATAAACGCACCTGACGGTGATAACTTGACTTGAGCATACACTAACAATGACCCTCTGATATGGTTTGGCTTTGGGTCCCCACCCAAATCTCTTCTCGGATTGTAATCCCCACATGTGGAGGGAGGGACCTGGTGGGAGGTGATTGGATTGTGGGGGCAGTTTCCCCCATGCTGTTCTCATGATAGTGAGTTCTCATGTGATCTGATGGTTTAAAAGTGTGGCACTTCTCCTTTGCGGCCTCTCTCTCCTGCTACCATGGTAGATGTGCCTTGCTTCCCCTTTGCTTTCCACCATGACTGTAAGTTTCCTGAGGCCTCTCCAGCCATGCGGAACTGTGAGTCAATTCAACCTCTTTCCTTTATAAGTTACCCAGTCTCCGGTAGTATCTTTATAGCAGTGTGAAAATGGACTAATACACTCCGTATGGCAGATGCACCTGAATGTGTGTTCGGAGTCCCAGGCTAAGAAATCCGGGAGTAGCGACCACCCTGGAGATCCATTCCTTATTTATGAGGAACATCTGAGACCCCGGCCTGGCCCATGGAATGCAGGCTGTATAGGGGATCAAGGCCTTTTATTTTGGGTAAAATGAAGTTTGCCAGGTGAAGATTGTTTGGGGGAGGGCGCTAAGTGAAAATGCTATATAGACTGCATGCCTTTTATAAGTGCTTGCAGTTCTTCTGCCCAGCCTGCTGCCACTGGACTCACTTCCCTGTTTGTAAGCTCTCGATAAAACCCCATGTCTTATTTACTGGCTCCAGGTCTCTTCTTTGGCCTTTTGAACATGGGGTCCTCCCCATTGGAGTCTACTGGGGCTTGGCACCACAAGGTGTCACAAGCCAAGGAATGCAGGTGGCCCCTAGAAGCTGGAAAAGGCAAGGGAACAGATTGTCCCCGAGAGCCTCCAGGAGGAACACAGCCTTGTTGATGCCTTGACTTTAGACCTCTGACCTCCAGACCAATGAGAATAAATAAGGGGTTGTTTTCATCTGGGAAACCTGTGGCAATTTGTTAAGCAGCAATCGGAAATTACTACCGTCCCTTTCTTGTCTCCCGTTGGCTTATGTTATTTTCTGGTAAATCCAAGGTGTGTGGTTTGTGTATTTGTTTGTTTCTGCGTGTTCTGCTGCTGAACGATATCAACCCTCTCTTCAGTTTTGCCTTCGGTTCTCGGGATCTCAGCTGGAGCTTTGTCTCTGCGCTTGAAGTGAAGGGCATCAGAGCAATCCCGGAAGTGTGAGGTTGCAACAAATAGCTGCAGGGAGCCAGGTGGTGTGTCTTCAGGGAAATGGCTCCCAACCCTCTCTGCAGCTGGAAGGGGCTCTTTTTTTTTTTTTTTTTTTTTACAGGCCCTCTCAATTTTTTGCCTAAAATGTCTCTTTCAAATCCTAGCTTCTGAATTCCTTTCCCACACTTTCATCTCTCCTTTCTGTAATTTACTACTTTTTCCATTTGATCATCAGAACGTGTTAACATAATAACAATCCTTGATACTTGAGGGATCTTCTCTTACCAAGTGCTTTCACATAAATGATCTCATTAAATCTTCCTATCGCTGTGCTTGGTAAGTAGTGTTCGGTGTCGAATTAATGACCATGCCCCTTTCCCACAAAGAACATGGTTTTACTCCCAGGGTTTCCTTATATAAAACTCTAAGGCCCTGGACATCAACATGGACACACACACACACACTCTCACTCACAAATAAGGTACATAGCTTCTCACCTGCACACACACACATTGTGTGGAACTCCTCTGGGTTCAATAAGTTAGGAGAGGTATCTTAGCTTATGCTACAAAGACAGTCATGATCTTTATGCAAATTCTAGAGCCCCAAGAGGTCCCTAGTTTCTTGATGATCTGCCAAAGGCGCTCACCTGCCATGCACAGGACATGCACGGATCATGCACCCCTAGCCATAGCTCAGGTCTGGCTTTGGGTGAGCCTGGCCAAGGCTGGAAGCAACAGGAGAGGGCCTGGCAGAGCAGAGGGGACCTTTTTTTCCCTGCTCGCTGCCCTGCATGCTGCTCAGCATTTTCCAAACCTCCCCACTGCTCCTGGTGGGGCTTCACAATCGAACATTGTCAGCCCAGAGCTGACACCCAAGCCGACCACAGCCCTAAAGCATGCTGAGTGCCTCTTGGACCTGAATTCCCATAGTCTGTACCGAAAGCCACGCCCCAAGGCTGCAGTTTACCTCAATCTCAGTTTGCCTTTGAAATCTGTTCACAGGCTATCTCTGAAAAAGTCCTTTGGGTTTGGAAAACGGGACTTTGAAAACAATTCCGTTTTTATTGTAGATTCAGGGGGCACGTGTGCAGGTTTGTTACCAGGGTATATCGGGTGGTGCTGAGGTTTGGGCTTCTATGGATCCCATCACAGAAAATGGGACTTTTCATTAATAAAGGCTCCCGAGGGCTTAATCCAGAGCTGGGTTCCCCATGCGTGCTCAGTAAAGATCTGCTGATGGATGGGTTACAACACCCCGCCACCTTCAGTTTTCTGTTTTGAAGTAGCTTTGTTAGAGATGTTCAGATTTCTGTTCTCTGCATTTATTTTTATTTGAGTCCAGGAATCAAATGATGATGCTATCTGGTCCCAGCAGCCTAGAAAGGCAGCTCTCCCAAGCATTTCTCAGAGGCTACACTTTACATGAGTCCTAGGCAAACAGAGAGGAGGCCCACCCCACATTACATACACTTCCCGAGGGCCCAGGCCCTGCATAGGCTCTTGGCTAAGATGCTGCTTTCAGAGTTGGAGAGGGGAGCTGTTTGCTGAGTTTTCTGACACTCTTAACTGTTCAACTGGGCAGAGTTGTGGTTTGTTCAGAGAAGAAGCTTGTATTTAGGGAAAAAGTCATGGACAATGAATTTCTAACTAATAGAACATATTTCAGAAAGGCTGTACGATGAAGCAGAAAGAGCTGAAAATTTGGGTTTGGAAGACCTGGGTCCAAGTCCTGTTGTCGCAACATACCAGTGGTGTGGTCCTGGGCAGGTTACTGTGAGCCTGTTTCCTCACCTGTACAATGGGTATAGTAATAATAATGATCATAACTTACAGGGTTGTTGGGAACCCTTGAATGAAAGAATGAATCTGACCAGATGTGGTGGCTCACGCCTGTAATCTCAGCACTTTGGGAGGCTGAGGCGGAGAGATCACCTGAGGTCAGGAGATCGAGACCAGCCTGGCCAACATGGTGAAACCCCATCTCTACTGAAAATACAAAAATTAGCTGGGCGTCATGGCAGTCGCCTGTAATCCCAGCTACTCGGGAGGCTGAGGCAGGAGAATCGCTGGAACCCGGGAGGCAGAGGTTGCAGTGAGCCGAGATTGCGCCATTGCACTCCAGCCTGGGGGACAGAGGAAGACTCCATCCCCCCCCACAAAAAAAAAATTAATCTGAAGCATCTGAGGCTGGGCGCAGTGGCTGTAATTGCATCCAAGAGTTCAAAACCAGCCTTGGCAACATAGTGAGACCCTGTCTCTACAAAAATAAAAAATAAAAAAATTAACCAGGCATGGTGGCACATGCCTATAGTCCCAGCTACTCGGGAGGCTGAGGTGGGAGGACTGCTTGAGTCCGGGAGGTTGAGGCTGCAGTGAATTATGATTGTGCCACTGCACTCCAGCCTGGGTGATGGAGCGAGACCCTGTATCGAAAAAAAAAAAAAAAATGAATGAATGAATTTGAAAGTACATGGTATCTTGAGTTTGTGGCTTCTACTAAGGGTTGATTTTTTGCAAGTGGGCATAATATCCTCTTTGACCATTTCTGCTATGAAACATCTAGTTCAATGTTAGCACATGGTCTAACGCAGGTAAGTACTCACTGACTCAAGAAAATTCCTGATGAATGCAAAATTGGAATTAGGAGCTGGCTATTTGCTTTTCAAAACATTTTTCTTCAGTGCTCTTTTTGATACCCAAATCTCTTAGAGTACTGACCAATAGAAATATAATGCCACACATTTATGTAGTAAAAAATTTCCTAGTAGCTACATTTAGAAAGTGATCAGAATAGGAGAAATGAATTTTGACAACATAATTTCATTTAATTCACTATATCAAAAATATTACCTTTTCAACATAGAATCAATATAAAAAATTATTAAGGAGATACTTACATTTCTTTTTGGTAGAAAGTCTTTGAAATCCAGTCTGTGATTTACACTTACAGCACATCTCAATTCAGACATGGAATTTTTACCAGAAATACTTGATCTGTATTTAGAGTTCACAAAATTTACGGTTGAAAAGTAGATTTGTATACCCAAGTTGTTCCAAATATATTTAAAGGTTTTTTTTGTTTTGTTTTGTTTTTGTTTTTTTTTCCGAGATGGAGTCTTGCTCTGTTGCCCAGGCTGGAGTGCAGTGGCACGATCTCCACTCACTGCAACCTCTGCTGCCCAGGTTCAAGTGATTCTCCTGCCTCAGCCTCCCGAGTAACTGGGATTACTCGGGTGCGCCACCACGCCCGGCTAGTTTTCATATTTTTAGTAGAGACTGGGTTTCACCATGTTGGCCAGGCTGGTCTCAAACCCCTGACCTCAGTGATCCACCTGCCTTGGCCTCCCAAAGTGCTGGGATTACAAGCGTGAGCCATTGCGCCCGACTGGTTTTCTAAGAATTAAATTGAGTATCAGTTTTTTAATTTAAATTTATTACAATAAAATAAAAATTCTGTTTGTCAAGGGCACTGGCCACATTTCAAGGACTCAACTGCCAAAGTAGCGACATTATTGGACAGTGCAGCCTTGGGGTGATTAAAATTTGCTGTTGACATTCCTGTCCAGATATCCTTTCTGGGGTCTTGTCTTGAACAGATATTGAAGTACCGTTGTAAAGGTTAGAACTGCGCCTCTCAGATCTGGGGATCTGTTGAAAATACTGATGTCCAGGTCCTCTTTGATTAAGAGAAACTGAACTTTTCAGGTAGGCCCTGAGCATGAGTATGTTTTTCAAAACTTCCCAGATGATTCAAATGTGCCGCACCAGTTAAATGCTCTGGAAGATGAACTTGGGGCTAACTCATTGCAACATGTCACTCTCTGTTGACTGAGCAGTCTATGGAGATCTGAACAGAAACAAGTTGGGCTTCTGTTACATTTTTTTCTTTTTAAAAACAACTCCTCTCTCAGAGCTTTTACAAACTTTGAAAAGTCTTATTAGTGTCCTTACTAAGTGTGATAATTGTATCAATGCATTTTTAGCTGCTTTATTACTTTATAAATTAAAAAATAGTTAGCCTTTGGGTCAGCATTAAGTTGACGTGTTCTGGGCTCTTCCCAAGAACATGCTGTTGCCAATTTATCATAAATGTTGAGGGCACCTTTCAGTACTGTATTAATGCTTTTACTTATACTTTTTCGTAAACTGTATGATCGTAGCGAGATCACGCATGCCAGAATTCTAGCACAGCTACTTCTTGCCAACATATATTGACATAACGGCTATCATTCGATCGTGACTCACAGCAGTTGATCAGCCTAATTGGTTTCAGCAACATGTCTGATCTAACTGCAGTTACATCATTGTGGTTGAGTGCGTTTGGGTGAATTTCCAGAGCTATTGTTTTCGTGTCTGAATTTGCCAATTGGTCATTTATATGCCTGTCCTAGTTTTTATAGTGTGGGCATTTGCATTACTTTATTCATCTACTATTCTTCTTTACAGAAACCTAACAATAGTTTTTCGTTTTACTTGTTTAATCAACAAAACTTGAAGGTGCATCACCTACCTTGCTCCAAGGCACTAAGGTAAGTCTGATTGGCAGTTGGACTTCATTTAGCTTGCCACCTCCAGCTGCTGATTTCACGGTGTTGAAAAGCATTCTGACTGAATTCACACCTAGGCTCAGTGGGAAAGAAAGTTGTGATTGGAGGAGAGAGTGTGGTCCCATTGGCAAAATGTTTTCTGCCCTGTGCTGGGAGCTGAGGATATAAAGACAATAAGCACTTATTCCAGCAGAGATAAAAAATTAGGAACCATTCTATGATACTGGTTTATAGAAAGTTCTATAGAAACACAGAAGAGAAAGCAATTTCTCTTCTGTGGGGGGTGTGGGGGCAATGGTGGTGGGGATCAGGAGAATATGAAGTTGTCACACAGGTAATATTTCAAGTGGATCAGGAAGGAATTCTAGGAATTTGGCAGAAAATGAGGAAGAGCATTTTTTATGTGTGTGTTTTTCATACTTTGATATGTTACTATCAGAATAAATGAAACTGATTAATGCTATTGGTCAAGTTTAGGTACATTAATATTTGCACCTCACATATACCACGAAATCTGGTATCTATTTATGAGAAATTCAAGGCACTTTGCAATGTCTGGCCTGCTTTAATTTTTTTTGTTTCATTTTATTATATTGCTCTTCTTTTGCTAAAGTAATGAGTTTTATATATATACATAAACTGAGAGGCTGAGATTACTGCCTGGCACATAGTAGGTAATACATATCTGCTGAATCAATGAATGAACATATTCAGATTACCTATATGTTTAGTGTAACTGGAGATCCTATCAAACGCACTTGTTATATATATATATATATATATATATATATATATATATATATAGCCTGATAAATATAGATATAGATATAGATATATCTCTCTCACATACACACCCCTTCCTACCATCAAAGCAACTAATTGCTGATGTGCTGATGGAACAACACCAGCAGGCAGGACGATCCTGTTACAACATATTCAGATCATGCTGTTCGGCTGAAGCCCCAGTGGTTTTCCATGTCTGTGAACCGAAACCTTCTTACCCGCTGCTGGCCTCTTCTCTGGGTGCTAAGCCCCTGCCCCCTTGGGCTGAGATCACTGGGCTCACTGACCTTCCCATGACTCAGCCAGGCTGGTTCTTGCCTCCGGGGGTTTGACACTTACTCATTTTCCCCCTGCTTGGAACTCTCTAGCTCAGCATGTGCTCATGACTGGCCCCTCACCTCCTGAAGGAGGTTCTTTGCTTCTCATGGAGGACTTTCTCACCTGCAAGTTTATTTTTATTTTTAATTTTTTTTGAGACAGTCTCACTCCGTCACCCAGGCTGGAGTGTGGTGGCGCAGTCTTGGCTCACTGCAACCTCTGCCTCCTGGGTTCAAGCAGTCCTCCCATCTCAGCCTTCTGAGTAGCTGGGATTACAGCCACATGCCACCAGGCCCGGCTAATTTTTGTATTTTTAGTAGAGACAGGGTTTCCTCATGGTGGCCAGGCTGGTCTCGATCTCCTGACCATCCAGTGATCCATCCATCTCGGCCTCCCAAAGTGCTGGGATTACAGGTGTGAACCGCCATGCCCATTGCAGTCGCTCCCACTCCACCATCATTCCCTACTTCCTCCTTCAGTTTTCACCAGTGCAGGTGTCACTGATATGCTACAGTTGTTACTTACTTATTCTGTTGATTGTCTATTTCTGCCCCCTCCTCTGAAGCATGTCAGCACCACAAGGACCAACGCTTTTGTCTGTGGTGTTCTCTGTTTTATCTCTACTGCTGAGAACATAGTAGGTGATGCGTATTTGAATCAAAGAGCGAACATGTTCATATTGTGTGTGTGTTTAGCATAAGTAACTGGGATCCTAGCATATGCATCTTATGCATTCATATCGTATGTATTTTCCACATCATAAACATTCTTTAACATGGCTTTTACTTCCCATATCATTTTAGCTTGTGCATATGTAATAATATGTGCTGTGGTCTAAATGTTTGTGTCCCTCCCCAAAATTCATATGTTGAAATCCTAACCCCCAAGGTAATGGCACTATGACGTGGAGCCTTTGAGAGTGATTAGGTCGTGAGGATAAAGCCCTTGTGAATGGCATTAGTGCCCTTATAAAAGAGACTCAAGGGAGTGCATTTGCCCCTTCTACCATGTGAAGACACAGGGAGAAGTCACAGTCTATGAACCAGGAATGTGGACCTCACCAGATACTGAATCTGCTGGTGCCTTGATCTTGGACTTCCCAGCCTCCAGAACTGTGAGAAATAAATTTCTGTTGTTTATAAGACTGGTCAGTGTACTAGACTATGTTATTTTGTTATAGCAGCCCAAACAGACTAAGACATTAGGCTACGCAGCTCGCCTGTTCCTAGGTGGTTTCAGTCCTCTACTGTTCAAAGTCTGTCAAGAACCTCTTGTTCATAAGTTCTCTCCCTTTATATAGAAGAGAAGTTCTCTTCTTTTATGTGGAAGTGGTGTTGCTGAGTGAAAGGGCATGAACAATTGAGATCTGAACCCACACATCAAACTGTAGAGCCTCATTTTGAGGTAGAATTTCTTCTTTTCATGATGTTACCTGGTAAGGGGCATGTCCCCAGCTTTTGGGAGGCGCAGACTGCATGGGAACTGCTGAAAGGTCTATGGGGACCCATTGGGCGTACTAGGCCAGTGACGGCACGTATGGGCCCCAAGGCCTTAAGGTGAGTGACAGCAAGTGGAAGGAGGGTGCAGAATGTGGCACTGGGCTGGAATGACTTAGTGGAGTGGGGTGAACAATCTGCTCATTCAGAACTGGCTTTGGGATTGTGACAGGTCCTGAACAGCTTGGAGTACTAAGAAGAGCGCTGGACATGAACTGGAATATGTGGGTTCAAATCCCACCTTTTCACTGCCCAGCTCTGTGACCCTGAGCAAGTGACTCAACCTCTGTGAGCCCCGTGTCCTCTCTGTAAAATGGAGGTATGAATGCCTGTGAGAACAGGATATGGGGAGGGTTCCTGTATAACACTTCGCCCTGCCCATCTGAATAAAAGGCTGCATTCACCCTTCCTAAGGAAGACCACTTTCCGATGTTCCAGTCTGAAGGTGAGTTTTGAGCCTAAATTCTCTATATAGTCCAATTCTATTAGTTCCAGGTTCAAAGATCTCAGAAGAGATGCCAGCGATTCTGGGTGTAGGCTTCTCCCACCTTCCCTCCCTTTCTCTCCCGAGAGGGGACATTTCTACACCTCTTCTGGGTGTCCTGAAAGGTCCATAAAGAGCAGGATGTGGCAATGGTGAGGGCAGCGGGCCCAGCCAATGTCTGTGTGGGCAACTGAGGTCTGCAGATGAGCACAGCCAGCTGACCTCCCATGAGTGCCGGCATGGTCACAAAGCCTGGCGACTTGCTGATTAAACTGAAGTGCTATTCTTAGTGGCAAGCTGTCATCCAGCCCTTATGAAAAAGGACAGAAATCACTCAGCCAGGATCTAAAAATAATTAGAAACTGACAACCAGCTCTGGGAAGAGCTTGGACCTGGAGCCTGGCCTGGGAAGAACTAAGTAGGGGAAGACCACTTGGTGGAACTTTGCAAGATCACAGAGCCCATGGCACAGACAAATAGTTTTCTGTATTTATGGCTCTTCATTATCTATTGTAATTAAAAATAAAATTTGTAAATATTTTATACTAAGAGTAATAATGGTAAAAGCTGCTTCTAGAATACTTCCAAAATGGCAGATGCTGTCCTAAGCCATTGAGTACATTCTGTGCTTGGACTCTGCAGGGTCTCTGTGGTTGGGTCATGTTACTGTTGCCATTTACAGATGAGGAAACTGAGTCTTGGAGATGGGGAATTTGGGCCACTCTAGTCAGTCTGATCACAGAGGCTAATTATCTGGAATGGTCTGGAATTGGCCTTTGGTTTCCACCCCTCCTCTTTGGCAGTTCAGGGTTGCTTGGTATTATTTTCCCAGTTGTTAACAAGCTGCTTTCTTTCAACTTCTCCAGGGAGAAAATCTTGGTTGCTGGACTTCTCAGGAAAAACTCTCAGTGGTGATTTGATTTTGGGTTTCTTTGTGGAATTTGTGCCTCACGTGCAGTTAAGCACATGGTCAGGTTTAAGGAGGTCTGTTTCAATTTGCATAGAGATGGAGCTTTGTTTCCCCCCAGCCAGGAAGAAAGAGGCATATGGCGGCCTCATTGCTTGTGGATTGGCTCAGCACCAGAAGGCACTATTCCTTGTGGATAATTAGCACAGATGCCTGAACATGGATGCTTTTTATTTTAAAACCATATTAAACATGTTTATTGGCTTTAGCTTTATTTGACCCAATTTGTTGTTCCCTCCTGCATGCTGGGCACCTAGCGTGGTGGAGGGCTCAAAGGCTTTAGGACTGCTCTGCATGGGTTCAATTCTAGCTCATTAGAGTCCCCAGTGACACAGTTACTATGTAGGCATATTCATTTCTGTCCTTTTATATTTTTATTGTAGAGGTTCTTGGAAGAGATAGAAGATGATGGACAGGCTGATCTCAGGCTGCCATCTTGAACTGGAAGCCTATACCTCCCAATGCAGTTTGGATTTCTTTGGTTCTGATATTTTTATTTTATTTTACTCTGATATTTTATTTATTTGATTTTTTTTTTCTTTGAGATGGAGTCTTGCTCCGTCACCCAGACTGGAGTGCAGTGGCGTGATCACGGCTCACTGCAAGCTCCGCCTCCTGGGTTCACGCCATTCTCCTGCCTCCCGAGTAGCTGGGACTACAGGCGCCCACCACCACGCCCGGCTAATTTTATTTATTTATTTATTTATTTTTTAGTGGAGACAGGGTTTCACCGTGTTAGCCAGGATGGTCTCGATCTCCTGACCTCGTGATCCGCCCACCTTGGCCTCCCAAAGTGCTGGGATTACAGACGTGAGCCACTGCTCCCGGCCAATTTATTTGATTTTTAAAAGAGATAGGGTCTCACTGTGTTGCCCAGGCTGGAGTGCAGTGGTGTGATCATGGCTCACTGTTACCTCAAGCTCCCGGGCTCAAGCCATCCTCCCACCTCAGCCTCCTGACTAGCTGGGACTACGTGTGTGCCACCATGCGTAGCTATTTTTTTTTTTTTTTTGTAGAGATGGTGGTCCTGCTATGTTGCCCAGGGTGATCTCAAACTCCTGGCCTCAAGCAATGGTTCTGATAATTTTTTTACTTACAGGTTCTGTTTTATGGTTATCTTGTTGCCACTTCAAATTCTATGTGAAAGGGCTTGGGAACAAATTAATAAACAAATACCCTAAACAAATACCAAAATGGTGACAGTAGTTTCTTAGTCTGATGACTGGGACTTTTCATGTTGCTGGTTTCTTTGTTCCTTCTCTCCGTAGGCTTTCTGCTCTTACCTCATCTCTTGCTTTCTTTTCTCTAACTCTTACAGAGAAAGACATTTAAAATCAGACTCAAGCATCTTGGAGAAGGGGTTTTGCTTATACTTGGCAGGTTGTTGCTTCCTATGTCTAAGACAGGAGAAAAGGAGGCTTTGAAATGTCATGAAATGTCCGGGAAGGTTTCCTGGATGTCAAGTAGCTGTTTCCTCAAATCACGGGAATGACTGAAGTGTAGAAGGATCAGAAACATACAGATTCAATTTCACTGAAAACCCACACGTGGCTTTAAAGTGTTGGGAAAATATGCGTGGGCCCAAGTCTGATTTGGGTTTAAAAAAGAATGCAGACATGATGGGTTGTGATGGAAAAGTCTAGAGGCCACTGGGTGTATCTGCTCATTCTTCACCAGGACTCTGGGGTCATACATTCCTCCTGGGATGGCTAAAGCCAGGACCTGTTAAAACGGTATGTCCAGAAACACAGAGCACGAAGACTTAGAGAAATGAGTGTGGAGGAGGGAGTGCCTATCTCTGGGAACATTCTGGTCACATTGGCAGAGCCAGAAGAATACTTCTAAGACAGAAGTATTCTTCTAAGTGTCCAGCCTGGTGCTAGTAAATAGTTGAAGAACAGGGCCAGTTCCATTGTTGTTATTCTCAGATCTGAGAGAATTCTTCTGGTGGTCCAATAATCTGTGTGGAGCTCGCGCCAGGAGCCTGGAAGCTGGCCTCCGTACCCCGACCCCTGCCCCGCCTTAACTCTCCCATTTCATCAGCTATTGTCCAGTTGATTCTACTTAGCAAAGGTCCCTGGAATTATCCAAATGCCTGTCACCCCCACTGCTACTCCTCTAGTTCAGGCCACCATTACCTCTCACTAGATTGGTCCCCTCACCCTCCACTAACCTTGCTTGCATTCAATCTAATTTCCACAAGATACATGGCGTAAGCTTTCTAGAGCCCACCTCAGCTCCTAGCATTACCCCCTTGAACTTCTTCAGGGGTTGCTTACATGCTTGCAAATTCCCAACATGATATGTGTGGACCTTCACAATTTGGCTTCTTCCTGATTTTATATGTCTTGACAACCTGTTTCCCCCTCATTCCCCTCACCCTCTCAGACCCCTAATATGCTCCAACCATTTTGAACTACTTTCAGCCAATTCCTGGCTGGGGGATCTTGGGGAAGTCAATCAACCTTCCTGTACCTCAGTTTCTTCATTTGTAAAGTGAAGATGGTAGCAGCACCTGCATGGGTTGTTGAGGATAAAATAGGTTCATATATGCCCAGTGCTTTTAGCAGAGCCTGGCACTGATTCTGCCACCTCCTCGTGCCTCTTTGTATGCAGAAACTTTGTACCTGGAACTTCCTCCCACTTCCTTCGGCTTGCTTTTGTAGCGTGGTGGTCACCACTTCTGTAGAATGAGCCGCAGGCCATGTTGCATCGTAATCGTCTGCATTTCATTCTGTCCACGCACCACACTAGAAGCTCTTTGAGAGTAGGGACTGTTTCTCCGTTGCCTTGACACACCATAGTCAATCAATATTTGCTGATATAAAGAAAAAAAAACAGCTCACAAGGAGAGACTACGCCAAATTCCAGGTAGTTGCCTGTAGACCCTGGGAAGGTAATATTTCTTTTCATAAATGCACAAATGGTTATTCTTTTTTAATGAACCAAAAGAAAAACAAATTCAGCAGGTTGGCATTTGGCAAAAGCCATTTCAACATCTAAAGATATTTCTTGTTCTGGAACTCAGAACGACTTTGCACTTCCAAATGTCATTTGCAAGGTTGCTGGACTGATTAGGTTTGCTCTTAGCCCCTTCCCTGCCCATTTCCTGCCTTGGCTGGTGTTCCTTGAATGGTTCGGCATTCCAACTTGGCCTGAGATGCCAAGGCTCCCTGCTCTGCATTTAGCCTGCATTTCTCCTGGGTCCTGAGGGAAGCTGGGAAATGCACTCTGCATTTTTATCTCATGTGGTTGGGACACAGGGTGGTGTCCCAGGGAGGAGGCACTTTCTTTTGCCCTGGGCCAGCTGTGGTGGCATTTGACATGGCTGAAGGATTCTGTCACTCCAGTTGGCCATGGCTCATTAAAATGCCTGGGCTTGCTGGGAATTGTATTTCCAAATCTGTGCTTCTCATAGGGCCATGGAAACAGATTAGGGTGTGTCTTTCCCAATGTGTCTGATTTGTCCATGGTCACATGAGGTGGAGAGGGGAGGAGGGTGTGTAGTGCAGAGAGGTGCTTTGCAAAAGTTTGCACCTGCTGTTTCCTTCCGAAAGTGTGCAATCTCTTACCCCTCCCCATCCTGTAGAAATTTCTTAAAAAAAAGCACCACATTTTGTCATTTTTGCATGTTATATGTTATAAAAATTGACTGTAAGATTTTTTAAACACCCAGCTAATAAGTGATGCATACTGTTTCATTTACTTTAATTATGTAAAAGAAGCATGATTTGTCAACAGGTACATCACAAATTATATAATTCATCAGACTTGGTTGAGAAAAACAATCTTAAAACATAGATGGAAGTTTAATTATGTATTAGCATTGAAAATAGGCAAAACCTGTCCTTGTGACCTAATATTGGGAATTCTTGCATTTTGCACTTAAAAATCAACTGGATAATTGGTGTGAATTTTTTTTTCTTTTTTTTCTTTTTGAGACAGAGTCTTGCTGTGTCGCCGGGCTGGAATGCAGTGGCGCGATCTCGGCTCACTGCAACCTCTGCTTCCCAGGTTCAAATGCTTCTCCTTCCTCAGCCTCCTGAGTAGCTGGGACTACAGGCACGCGTCACCACGCCCATCTAATTTTTGTATTTTTAGTAGAGACAGGGTTTCACCATGTTGGCCAGAGTGGTCTCAATTTCTTGACTTTATGATCCGCTCACCTCAGCCTCCCAAAGTGCTGGGATTACAGGCATGAGCCACTGCGCCCGGCCAGTTGGTATGAATTTTTAGTTACATTCTTAAGTATTGAAGAAAAAGAGCGATTTAGGCTACTTGCCATCATTTCTTCAAAGTATTCCATTGCAAGAGTAGATAGCTTAATTTCTAGTAAAGAAAGAAACAAATTGGATATAATTCTCATAGTTTTCTCACATTAATGTGGCTTCTGAAATGTTGGAGACAGCTTGACGGGCCACTAAGGTAAATGAAATTCAGAGATTAAGCTCAAAAAATCTAGGAATAACATTCTCCAAGGTAGTTTTCAACATTTCTGCCAAGAAATAGGAAATTAGACTGTGAACTGGAAGAAGATCTTTGGAAAAATAATTTGACGCTATAGTCAAAAGTCAAAATAGCTTAGCTAAAGTCAAAATTAGGCATAACCTTTGATCCAGCAGTGTTCTTCTAGCCATATGTATTGGAGAATCTTTTGATCATATGCACCAATACAGGAATGTTCATTGCAGCACTGTTTATAATAGCAAAAAATTGGAAACAGCACGGATGTTTATCAGTGGTAGAATACATTCTGGTATAGTCACACAATGAAATATTATACAGTAGTGAACAGGAAAAATTACAGCTTCATGCATTAACATGAATGAATCTCAGAAAAATAATGTTGAATGAAAAACAAAAGTCATACAGGAATAGATAAGGATGGCTTCATTTATATAAAGATTAAAAACAATCAAAACTAAACCATATATTGCTTAGGGGTATGTGGGTAGTGCATATGTGCATAGATTCCTGTCAGCACTGCCATGTGCTCTGCAGGCCACGTGAGTGAAGTGAAGAGGGGTAGATTAGGCCTGCATTCTGCCATGTCTCTGTTTCTGACTTTTACTTTCAGAAATGACTTGCCTGGGCCCTTCTGTTCCTCCTGCCTCTCAAGCCAACCCCTGCACTATAGTACAGGCCCAAACAAAGCTGAGAGAGAGAGTGTGTGTGCATGAGAGAGAGATTGAGTGTGTATGTGAAGGGTGACAGGTTTGAGAATGAAAGCAAGATCCAAGCCCACTGGCCCAAGCACACTGGATCCAAGCGCAGTCTTGGCCCTACCTATGTGACTTAAAAAAAAATCGCAAATGTGGACTGGACAACATTTATTGAGCAATTACTATGCTCCTCTCACTGTGCAATGCAATTTCTTCTGTTTCATCTCATTTCATTTTCACTGCCACCCTGCAAGTTCGTGTTGTTGCTGTCATTTTACAGACAAGGAATGCAAAGCTCACGGATGCCGAGGAATTTATCCAAGATCACTGTGATGGGATGGGAACTTTGGTTTTCAGCCTTTAAATACATTGGTGCAGAAGTCCAAGAAAGATGCTTGGAAAGACCTAGTGGTACGTAGCTTCATGTAAACCATCACCCCTTTGAATAAAAGCTAGGCAATCCCTCTGCCGCATTTTAAGTTATTATTATTATTATTATTATTTTTGCTCCAGGGTGGAGGGCAAATAAAATGTTAGCAGCCTTCTCTTGCCTTGGCTTTGGAGGCCGACTCCTCTGAGCAGGTGGCTGGTGCTTGCAGATGTGGTTGAACCTGCACATCTGGCACACATTAATCCATGGACAGGACATGCTATTACAGTCCTAATGAAATTTGGGTCTGCTGCATTTCCATAAGCCACCCAAGGAAGCAGGATTCCTGGCATTTTGTCAGAAGTAAAAGCCTGGAAGATATAGAACAATTTCTATCATCATGATGGATGAGGTTATTTTCATCTTGTACAAAGTTACTCCCAATTGAAAGGTTGGAGACAAGATAGCTCTTGATTAAATGAAAATTGTGCCTGACTAGGACATAAATTATGTAGTGGAGCAGCAAAAAAATCTGAATGTGCTTTTATGAGCTCAGTCCCCATCATGGTTTAACTCAGAGAAAAAACCTTTTCCTCCTTTGCAAGGATGTCCACGGCTACATGGTTGAAGCATTGCCCTGAAGGAATACTGTGTGGTTGGAGTTTTGGTAATGGGCATGAGCTGCTTTGGTTAATAATATTTTCATTCTGTATCTGCATCTCTTTGTTTTGTGCTTTTTAATCCATATAGACCTGTCCCCCACCACACCCACACCCAGAGGTCCTATTTCTATATCTTATGGGGTACATTTGCTTGGCCTGTGACTCTGTGAATTGTCCTCCCATCCTCATCCATCCATCTCCTGTTCCCATATATATATGAAGTATACAGTTTCCTCTTTCCCCACCAGCCCATAGGCTAGATAATTGAAGCAGGAGGGGACAACACAGTGAGATGGAACCCACTCTATTCTTCTAGAAATTTGAATTGAGGAGGGAATGGTAGAAAACGAAGTTCAACAAATATTCCTAGTTCTCCTCTTGAACGCATGGTAGGATTGCGCTTCTTGGCTCCATTGTGATTGGAATAATTCTGACCAAAGTCTTGTGAGCAAAAGGGACATGGGTTATTTTGGAGACACACAAGACCCCCAGAAATCTTTTTCCTTTTGGCATGGCAACCCACTGGGGCCCCACAGCAGCTATGATAAGCAGAGGCTCTGCCAACTCCCCATGGACTGCAGAATGAGTTAGAAATAAAACTGTTTCTGAACCACTGAGATGAGATTATTTGTTACTGCAGCATAATCTAGCTGATCCAGACTGATACACAGGGAGAGAGAAAAAATGTGAGTAAGCAAGAGAAGAGAGAAGGATCAAAATGGAGTTTTCTTAAATCTTGTGGTCTGGAATAGTAATGCATGAACTTGGGAGTGTGGTTGTTGACTTGTTGTCCATTCATGCAGTATGTAACTTTTTGAGTCTGACTTCTTTTATTGGGTATAATGCATTTGAGATTTATCTATCTTGTTGCACATATTAAGTTTGTTTCTTTTTATTGCTAATTTGGAATAGGTAGCAGAGAAGGCTATCCCACAGCTCACAATCATTGCACTGTCAACATTTCTACCCTAACCCCTTATAACCCCAAGATATCACTGACACCTTATTTTGCTTTGGCAAAAAAGAGAGAGAAATTTTTTACTTTTCAAAAAAGTAAAAAAATCTGGAGGTTTCTGGGTAAGCCATAGAGCATTGCAAAAAATCTGTTTATTTCCAAGCAGACTATGAGGATTGGTTAACAGTAATATTATTGTTGCGGGACAATCAAAGATGGGAGAGACCGAACAGAGTGAGTTCAGGAAAGGTCTTTATTAAAAGGTGATCACCTGGCTCAGTAGGACCAGCATCCAGGAAAGTCTGAGCCCCGGACAAAGAAAGCAGCCACCTTTTAAGCAGTCGGTGGCTGGGAGCTACGTGATGCAGGAAGTGTACTTACAGAATCGAGAACGAAGGCAGTTGATGAGTCTTTTACATTTATCTATACTGTATGTTCCACATCCCTGGGAAACCATGTTTCTGTATCAACCTTGTAACTTTGCAGCTGTGCTAGAGGGGTGAAGCAGGAACTCACCGAGCCTCAAGGAATGTGAAACTGGGGAGTACAGATAGGGCTCGCTGAGCACAGAAGGAAAAACAGGCAGTTAGTATTCTTCTCCAACTTAGACTACGGGGGGCGCTACACTACACTTAGCTTTTGAAGCAAAAAGTAAAAATTTTTGGTTGTTTTTGATTATACTTGTAAAATTCATGAATTCCTTCTTCATTATGAGTGTGTGTCTCAAACTGCAAAACACAGACTCATGTCTGCCAGGGTTATTTGAAGCTCTTGGTGTATTTTTCTGGAGCTCTTGACTCAAATATTTGGAATAAATGCTTAATACTTTGTATTTAAATCTTTTTAAAAATTAAATTTACAACTCAAATGTAGAAAAGTGCACAAATCACAAATGCATGTATCACCAAGTTTTCAAAAACGGAACACACCCTTGTAACAGACCACTCTGACCAAGAAACAGTTACTATTCTCTCAAAGGCACCCACTGCCTCAACTCCTAACACCACTGATTAGTTTTGCCTGTGTCTGTGCCTTTTTTTTTTTTTTTTGAGATGGAGTCTCGCTCTGTCTCCAGGCTAGAGTGCAGTGGCGTGATCTCAGCTCACTGCAACCTCCACCTCCTGGGTTCAAGCAATTCTCCTGCCGCAGCCTCCCGAGTAGCTGGGACTACAGGCGGATGCCACCAAGCCCAGCTAATTTTTGTATTTTTAGTAGAGACGGGGTTTCACCATGTTGGCCAGGATGGTCTCGATCTCTTGACCTCATGATCCACCCGCCTCGGCCTCCCAAAGTGCTGGGATTACCGGTGTGAGCCACCACACCCGGCCACATGTTTGTGCCTTTTTTTTTTTTTTTTTTTTTTTTTTGAGATGGAGTCTCGCTCTGTTGCCCAGGCTGGAGTGCAGTGGCACGATCTCAGTTCACTGCAAGCTACCCCTCCCAGGTCCACACAATTCTCCTGCCTCAGCCTCCCAAGTAGCTGGGACTACAGGCGCCTGCCACCACGCCTGGCTAATTTTTTTGTATTTTTAGTGGAGACGGGGTTTCACCGTGTTAGCCAGGATGGTCTCCATCTCCTGACCTCATGATCCACCTGCCTCAGCCTCCCAAAGTGCTGGGATTACAGGTGTGAGCCACTGCGCACAGCCGGTTTTGCCTTTTATGAGTGAATTCATATATTATGTACGCTTTCGTGTCTAGTTCTATGGCTTAACATTGATTGTGAGTTGTGTAACTATAAGCTGTTTATTCTCATTGCCTTATAGCATTCTGTTGTATAACTGTACCACAATTTATTTATCTGTTCTATAGCTAATGCACATATGGTGGTTTCTGGGGTTTGGCTACTCTGCAGTGCTGTTACATCTTCTGGTGAATATATGTAGGCATTTCTGCTAGGTCTCTATATCTACTCCCAGTGAAAATGCTGAGCGATAGGGTATACATATGTTCACCTGCAGTGCCTACCACCAAATACTTTTTCAAAGAGGTGTATTGCAATTACTTTTATTTTGAATTTAAATATAAATATAGTAAGTTCACTCTTTATTGGTGTACAGTTTATTGTATGGATGTACCATAGGTTGTTTATTCACTTACACATTGAAGGACATTTGGGTTGCTTTTGATTTTTTTGATGGTATGAATAGTGCTGTTATAAATATTTGTGTTTTTGTGTGAACATAAGTTTTTTTTTTGTTGTTGTTTTTTTGAGATGGAGTCTCGCTGTGTCGCCCAGGCTGGAGTGCAGGGCGCAATCTCCGCTCACTGCAAGCTCTGCCTCCTGGGTTCACACCATTCTCTCGCCTCAGCCTCCTGAGTAGCTGGGACTACAGGCGCCCGCCACCACGCCCAGCTAATTTTTTGTATTTTTAGTAGAGACGGGGTTTCACCGTGTTAACCAGGATGGTCTTGATCTCCTGACCTCGTGATTCGCCCACCTCGGCTTCCTAAAGTGCTGGGATTACAGGCGTGAGCCACCGCGCCTGGCCAGTTTTCATTCCTTTAGAGTAAATGTCTACGGGTGGGATTGCTGAGTAATATAATGTGTATTTAACAGCATGAGAAGTTGTTTTCCGGTGTAGCTGTACATCTTGCATTCCCATCAGCAATATATGCATTCACCTGCTCCAAATGCTCACCAGCAATCGATACTGTCAGTTTTGTTTTTAGAATTTTAGCCATTCAGTAGCTGTGATGTGGTGTCCCATTGTGGCTACAATTTTCATTCCCCTAATGACTAATGATGTTGAGCATCTTTTCATTCACAAATCTTTAAAGAAGAATACCCAAGTTTTTTGCCCATTTTTATATTTGGTTGTTTGTTTTCTTACTGTAGAATTTTGAGAGTACTTCATATGTTCTGCATACAGGTGCTTTCTCAGATACATGCTTTTCAAATATTTTCTCCCAGTATGTAGCTTGTCTTTTCAATCTCTTGTGTTTCTTTGATGAAGTTCAATTCATCAACTTTTTCTTTTATTAATCAAATATTTGGTGTCAAATGCAAGAACCCTCGGCCTCACTCAAAGTCACAAAAACTTTCTCCTATGTTTCCTGCTAAAAGTTTTGTATTTTTACATGTACATTAAGCCTACGATCCATTTTGGGTTAATTTTTATATATGGTTTGAGGCATAGGTTCTTTTTTGCATATGTATGTTTAATTTTTTTAGAACCATTTGTTGGAAACATTATCCTTTCTCTACTTATACCTTTCACTTCTACAAAAAAAATCACTTGACCGTATTTATGTGCTTTTATATATAGATTCTCTAATTTGTTCCATTGATTTCTGTTATACTAATTTTTCCAATATACATTTCGATTATGGTAGACTCCTACTAAGATTTTAAATTGAGTAGTGTGAATTCTTCAACTTTGTTTTGGCTATTCTAGCCCCTTTGCCTTTCCATATGTATTTTAGAATCATTTGTCTATATTTATTTTAAAAAATGTTTCTGAGAGTTTCATTGTGGTTGCATTAAATCTATAGTTTCATTTAGAAACTATAGGTAATTTCACTATATTAAAGTCTTTTGGTCCATGAGTATGCTATTACTCTCTATTTAGTCACTTTTTACATCCTTTATTAGAATTTTTAACATCCAGATCTTGCATGTAGTTTCTAGATTTTTACCTGTTTCCTTTTTTCCAGCGGTTGTAAATGATTTAAAAATTTTTAGTTTCCAAAATTTTATTACTAGTATATAGAAATACAATTGATTTTTGTATATTAGCTTTGTATCTTGAAACCCACTGTGTAAACTCAGTGGTTCTATGACTATTTTTGTAGATTCCTTGAGATTTTCTACATTGACAATCTTGTTATCTCTGTATAGGAACAGTTTTATTTCCTCCTTTCCAAGAAGTAAGTGCTTTCTTTTCTTGCCATATTGCACTGATTAAGATTCAATGCAATGTTGAATAAAACTAGTCAAAGTGGACTTCCTTTTCTTCTTCCTGATTTCAGGGGGAAAGCATTCAGTCTTTCACTGTTAGACGTAATGTTAGCTGTGATTTTTTTTTGGAGATGCCCTTTATCAGATTAAGGAATTTCCCTCACATTTCTTGTTTCTGAGAATTTTATTATGAATGGATGTTGAATTTTGTCAAATGCTTTTTGTGCATATACTGATAAGGATTATATGTTTTTTCTCTTTTAATTTGCTATTATGATAGGTTTTGAATTTCTGAATGTTGAGCCAGCTTTGCATTTTTGGGATAAACCTTATTTGGTTATGATGCATTATTTTTAAAAATCTATTGCTGGATTTGACTTGCTACTGTTTTGATGAGGACTTCTGCTTCTATGTTCATGAGGGATATTAGTTTATACTTTTCTTGTGCTATCATTATCTGGTTTTGGTCTCAGGGTAATTCTGGGTTCACAGATAAGTTGGGGAGTTTCCCTCCTTCTTCTCTTTTCAGTAGAGATTGTATAAAACTGGTGACTGCTAGTGAAACTATCTGGACTTGGAGTTTTGTTTGTTTGCTTTTTTTTTTTTTTTTTGAGACGAAGTATTGCTCTGTCGCTCAGGCTGGAGTGCAGTGGCGCAATCTCGGCTCACTGCAAGTTCCGCCTCTGGGTTCCTGCCATTCTCCTGCCTCAGCCTTCTGAGTAGCTGGGACTACAGGTGCCTGCCACCACACCCGGTTCATCTTTTGTATTTTTAGTAGAGATGGGATTTCACTGTTTTAGCCAGGATGGTCTTGATCTCCTGACCTTGTGATCCACCCCCCTCGGCCTCTCAAAGTGCTGGGATTATAGGTGTGAGCCACCACGCCCGGCCTGTTTGCTTGTTTTTACTAAGAATTCAAATTTATTTACTACCCATAGGGCTACTCAAGTTATCTGTTTCTTCTTGAGTGAGTTTTGGTAGTTTCTATTTTTAAAGAATTGGTTCTTTTTATCTAAGTTGAATTTTTATGCATAGAGTTGTTCAAAATATTTTCTTTATTATCTTTTAAACATTCCTCATGTCTCTAGTGATAGTTTCTCTTTCATTTCTGATATTGTTAATTGGTGTCTTGCCTCTTTTTTTTTCTTCATCAGCCTGACTAGAATGGTATTATGGACTGAATTGTGTTCCTCCAAATTTATATGTAGAACTCCTAACCCTCAGTACCTCAGAATGGGACTGTATTTGGAGATAATGTCTTTAAAGAGGTAATTAAGCTAAAGTAAATTCATTAGGATGGGACTTAATTGAATATGAATGAGGTCATTGTAAGAAGAGGAAATTAAAACCAGACAACTTAGAGGAAAGACCATGTACAGACAAGGGGAGAAGATGACCATCTGCAAACCAAGGGGAGAGGCCGCAAAAGAAAGCAACCTTGCTCTCACCTTGATCCCAGACTTCTAGACTCCAGAATAGTGAGAAAATAAGTTTCTGTTGTTTAAGCTACACAGTCTCTGGTGCTTTGTTATGTGGCCCTAGCAAACTGATACAAAGTTTACTAATTTAATTGACCCTTAAAAAAAACCTAGCTTTTGTTTTTACTGGTTTTCTCTATTGTTTTGTTTTCAATATTACTGATTTTTATTCTTGTTATTTCCTTCTTTTGCTTATTTTGGGTTTATTTTGCTCTTCTTTTCTAATTTCATAATGTGGAAGCTGAATTTGAGACCTTTCTTTTTTCCTAATATTTACATTTAATGCTATATTTTTTCCCTATATACTACTTTAGCTCCATCTCAAATTTTTACATGTAATTGCATTTTCAATTCAGTTCAAAATATTTTCTAATTCCTTTTAAGATTTTTCTCTTTGAAGCAGGGATTACTTGAATGTTAAATTTCCAGGTATTTGTTTTGTTTTTTTAACACATCTTTCTGATATTGATTTCTACTATAATTCCATTATGGTTAAAGAACATACTTTTGTATTATTTTAATTATTTTAAATTTGTTAATGATTTATTTATAACTCACAATAAGGCCTATCTTGGTAAATATCCTATGTGCACTTACAATAATGTGTATTCTGCTCTTCTTAGATACAGCATGTGATTAATATTAATTAGGTCAGTATGACTGATGGTGTTATTAATATCTTCTATATCTTTCTAATTTTCTACCTATTTGTTCATTGGTTATGGAGAGGAAAATGTTACAATATCCAACTGTAATTGTAGATTTGTCTATATCCCATTTTGGTTTTTATCAGTTTGGCTTCATGTATTTTGAGGCTATGTAGTTAGGTACAGATTTATTTGGGATTGTTATGTCTTACTGGATTAGATCTTTCACTATTATATAATGTCCCTCCTTATTTCTGGTAATTTTCCTCATTATAAAGTCTACTTTGTGTTATATTAAAATAGCCACATACAGATTTCCTTTTTTCTTTTCTTTTTTTTGAGATGAAGTCTCACACTGTTGCCCGGGCTGGAGTACAATGGTGCGATCTCAGCTCACTGCAGCGGAGTGAGCTCCGCCTTTCAGGTTCAAGTGATTCTCCTGCCTCAGCCTCCCGAGTAGCTGG
The DNA here is from genome assembly GCF_000001405.40 of Homo sapiens. Lineage (NCBI taxonomy): Eukaryota > Metazoa > Chordata > Mammalia > Primates > Hominidae > Homo > Homo sapiens. Next base: position 93,227,851 of record NC_000015.10, read on the forward strand.
GACTATAGGCGCCCGCCACCACGCCTGGCTAATTTTTTGTATTTTTAGTAGAGACGGGGTTTCACCATGTTAGCCCAGATGGTCTTGATCTCCTGACCTCAGGATTCGCCCACCTTGGCCTCCCAAAGTGCTGGGATTACAGGCGTGAGCCATCGTGCCCGGCCATGCCCAGCTAATTTTTTTGTGTGTGTTTTTAGTAGAGATAGGGTTTCACTATGTTGGCCAGGCTGGCCTTGAACTCCTGACCTCATGATCCGCCTGCCGCGGCTTCCCAAAGTGCTGGGATTACAGGCATGAGCCACCACACCCAGTCCAGATTTCTTTTTTGAGACGGAGTTTTACTCTCGTTGCCCAGGCTGGAGTGCAATGTTGTGATCTCGGCTCACAGCAACCTCCGCCTCCCGGGTTCAAGCCATTCTCCTGCCTTAGCCTCCAGAGTAGGTAGGATTACAGGCACGCGCCACCACGCCCGGCTAATTTTGTATTTTTAGTAGAGACCAGGTTTCTCCATGTTGGTCAGGCTGGTCTTGAACTCCAGACCTCAGGTGATCCGCCCGCCTCAGCCTCCCAAAGTGCTGGGATTACAGGCGTGAGCCACTGCGCCGGCCCAGATTTCTTTTAATTAGTACTTGCATTATATGTATTTTCATCTGTTTATTTTAAATTTAGCTATACCATTATTTTTATTATTTATTTATTTATTTGAGACAGGATCTAGCTCTGTTGCCCAAGCTGGAGTGCAGTGGTGTGTTCACAGCTCACTCACTGCAGCCTCGACCTCCCAGGCTCAAACAATCCTCCTGCCTCAGCCTTCCAAGTAGCTGAGACTACAGACATGTGCACAATGCCTGACTAATATTTTTCTATTTTTTGTAGAGATGAAGATCTCACTATGTTGCCTGGGCTGGTCTTGAATTCCTGAGCTCAAGTGATCCTCCAACCTTGGCCTCCCAAAGTGATGGAATTACAGGCGTGAGTCACTGCACCTGGCTGATACCATTATTTTTAAAGTTGGTTTCTTATAGATGACATAAAATTGGATCTCCCCTCCCCTACATTCAATCTGACCGTTTCTGACTTTGAATTGATGTGTTTAAACCACTTACATTAATTATTGATACAGTTGAATTTAGGCTACCCTTTTCTTATTTGTTTTCTGCATATCTTCTCTGTTTTTCATTTTTCTCTTTCCCCCTTCCTGCCTTCTTTTGGATTACTTAAATATTTTTGAGACTTTTAATTCATTAACATTTTTAGTGTCTTTCTGGGTAGTTTTTTTGGTTGTTGCTCTAGGGATTATAATATACATATTTAATTTTCAGCTACTAATAAGAATTAATATTTTATCACTTCAAGTAAAATGTAGAATACTCAACTATTTAGGTCCCTTTATACTCCTTATTTTAAGTTTTGTTATTATCTGTATTACATCTGTGTACATTGAAAACCCATTAGGAATATTGTAAGTTTTGCATTAAATAGTCTTAAATATTTTAAAGAATTGAAGAGAAGAAAAATAGTTCAATATGTTACCCAGATATTTCCCTTTTTTCTTATCTTCCTTCCTTCCAGAAATTCCACATTTTCCCTCTGGTATCATTTCTTTCTGTATGAATAATTTCTCTTTCAAAAAAGAAAGGTAACTGTATGAAATGATGGGCGTGTTAATTTGACTATAGTAATCCCTTCACATTGTATATGTATAGCAAGATAAGTCAAGATAAATATATTAAAATATTATATTGTATACCTTAAAAATGTACAAGTTTTTTAAAAACAACTTTTTTGGGGGCAAGGGTGCTGATAAATTACTTTTCCTTCATCGAAGAATATCTTTATTTTGCATTTATTTCTCAAGGATATCTTCACTTAATATAAAATTACGAGTTGACAGTTCTTCTTTTTCAGTATGCTATAAATGTTGTTCCACTTCCTTCTGGCTCCCATGGTTTTGGGACAATAATCCTCAATGTTATATTGTGTTTCCTATATATGTAACTTGCTGCTTCCTTTGTCTTTGCTTTACAGCAGACTAATGATGATGTATCTTGGTAAATCTTGGTTTGATTTTTTTCTGGTTTGGTGTTGATTGAGATTCTGAAATCAGTAAATTTATGCCTTCTGCCACATTTGGGAAGTTTTTGGCTATGATTTCTCCCTCCCTTCCTTCCTTCTTCTTTTTTTTTTTTTTTTTTTTTTTTTTTTTTTTGACACAGTTTTGCTCTTGTCACCCAGACTGGAGTGCAGTGGCACAATCTCAGCTCACCACAACCTCTGCCTCCCAGGTTCAAGTGATTTTCCCACCTCAGCCTCCTGAGTAGCTGGGATTACAGGTGCCTGCCACCATGCCCGGCTAATTTGTTTTTGTATTTTTAGTAGAGACAGGGTTTCACCATGTTGGCCAGGCTGGTCTTAAACTCCTGACCTCAGGTGATCTGCCTGCCTTGGCCTCCCAAAGTGCTGGGATTACAAGTGTGAGCCACCACGCCCAGCCGATTTCTTAAAATATTTTCCTTCTGCACCAATTTATTTCTCCCATCCTCTGGGACTCTAATGATACATATATTAAACCTTCTGATGTTGTCCTATTGGTCCCTGAAGCTGTTCTTTTTTAAAAAAAAAACCTTTCTATTGTTGTTTTTCTTCAATTGGATAACTTTTATTGATACACCTTTAAGTTCACTAACTCTTCTCTCATATCCTTTCTTCTGTATAACACAAACAGTAAGTTTTCTATTTCTATTTTATAGTTCTAACTTTTTTTTGGTCCTTTGTATTTTTCTTCTCAGAATTTCTATTTTTCCAGGTATTTCAAGAGAATTTTCGTTTATTTCATACAGCATAGTTATAATGGCTGTTTAAAAATGACTGTCTGATATTTCCAACATTGGGTTATCTGAATGTTGGCATCTGTGGTTATCTTTTCCTGATTTGTATATTGTGTAATTTTGGATTGTGCCCTGGCCATTTAAAATATTACATTATGAGACTCTGGCCCTCATTGAAATCCTCTGGAGAATGTTGATATTTTTTCTTTTGGCAGGCATCTGCTTGGTTAGGCTCAGGCTTTGAGTCCTGAGCTGTCTTCTGTTGCCTATGTTAGGTCAGCCTTCAAACATTTACTGTGTTATGTTGACCTATGGATCGTGTATTCCTTCCAGGGACCAGTTTTAGACCTGGACAATGATCTACAACTTAGTTCATTTCTTAAAGCCATTGTTAAGTTATTTGAAGTTAGCTCCATGCATGCATAGTTCAGTGACGGGCCCAGGACAGCATACACATTTGTTTGTGGTCCATTTCTCAAACTCCTTCCTCTTCATGACTTCTTCAACACCCTTCAGCTCCCTAGGACCCCTTTTCCTGATTCTCAGGCTAGAAAGTTGAGGCGTTTGCCTTCCAGGCCTGTCATGCATTTCTTGTGTCTGGATGTGGTTCTAAGTAAAGCAGCAAGGAGAGAGAGAGAGAGAGAGAGAGAGAGAAAGGACCAGGATTCCCTCCTTCCTTTTCATCCCTCTGGTTAGAAAAAAGGATTTTCTTTCAGAGTTTCAGGTGCCTTCGTGGCTGCTGCTGCTGTCATGGGAGTGCAGTCTTACAACATTTGCCTGGGGCAGGAGACAGAGAAAGAAAAAAACAGTGGATTTCCTCCTCTCTCTCCATTCCTCAGGGGCCCCTTTCCTGGTCTTGTGACCATAGAGGGATGGTTTCTCCTGGGCACTTCTCCCTATATGCCTGCTGAGCAGTTCTGGGATTTGGGTGTCCTGAGTCTAAGCTGGGAGATGTGGGAGGAAAGAAAAGCTGGTGAACTCATTGCCACCTCCATGTTTCTCTGAATGTTATCTCTCTCTCCATCTGCTTGCCGTGGTTTTCTTTCTAGACACCTCTGATGATTGCTGCATGTATTCTGCCCAGGGTTTTTGGCTGTGATCACTGGGAGAGATAGAAGGGACTGTATTTGCTCCATCTTACCCAGCTCTGCAAACCTGCTGGAGAGTTTAATTGGTAAGTATTTTTAAGTTTTATTTTTATATGAAAACATGCAGAGTAAGACTGCAAGATCAGCATGAACTTCTCAAAGCTTCTAAAGCTGATGTCTTTGAGAAAATACAGGCTTGTGGGGCATTGCTTTGATAGGAGTTGAGTCTCCTCTGTTTAGAGAGAAGACAAGAGGGAGAAGCAATGCCCTTCTTGGTATAGATGGCAGGGTTAGCACGGCCCCTGCTCACTGTGGGGCTGACCGCCCCCACTGCAGGAGGCTGGAGTCCTTCTTTTGCCCTAAGAGCTCATTTTGAGAGATTCTTTGCTTCTAGCTTTTCCCCTGATGACTGACTGGTCCTGTCAGAAATTTTACCTAGGCTTACTCGTCCTGGAAAACCACAGACAATACCTCTGGCTGCACGGGACACTGAAATCTGTCGGGACCACTCCCTCTCCCAGCACAATCATCCAGGGGCACAGTCCTCAGCGGGAGCTCCATCTCCTTGACCTCTTTCCCCAAGCAGGAAGAAAATCTCATGCTATCATAATGTGCTGAAATTGTGTTTGGAGATGTAGTTTCCTAGGAAAAACATCATTTGGTTTCACAGAAGCTTCCTGTTGGAAACAGGAAAGAGGGGGACAATGCTAAGGGCTGAGGGGCCCTCCTAGAAGGGCAGCAGGAGTGATGGTCTTCTCAGCCCCGGCCCCTCCGCAACCAGCGAGATGATGCTGAGACTTGGTGAGGGCAGGGGGATAGGAAAGGAGAGAGCAGAGGATACAGGGAAGGTGGGGCTTGCAGGTGCCTAAGAGGGGCTGTCTCTGCTAGAATCAAATAAAAGGACAAAAGAAAAAGAAACAAAGAAGAATATTTGATATTATCCCCTGCTTTCTTGGTACACCTGCAACTGGCCGCCAGTGAGAATGTACTACCAGGTAATTTTCATAACCAACCCAGTGTACCTTGAAGCACAGCTGGTTTTTCAGGCATTTAGAATTTCCTAGTTTTCATTCTAATCTTACTGAATTTTGGGGGGTGGTGGGGGGTGTGGGGGGGCGGGAACACTGATGGGGTAGGGCGAAGAGATACCTGGGCCTGCTCTCAGGCTCAGAATACCAGGGAAATTTCAGTTTTTTTTTTTTTTTTTTTTTTCGCCCAGTAGTCTAGGCTCAAAAACACCCTGTGGTTTCTACAGTGTGGGTGCTGTTCTGTTCCCACCGCTCTGAAAGATGACGGTAACAATGTGGATTTCGACTGCAGTGGGCATTTCTGTGAGACGGCTCCTTTCTCCCACTGAAGCTGCAGTTTGAGATTGGATAATCTTAGGTGTTGGACCCTTGACCGTGCTTTTCATATTTTGAGTCATTTTGTGGAATCTTCTAATGTTAGAGTGTAATGTTTGCCTAACATTGGCTGATTGTCACTGTTTTAACATTGGCTGACTAGACGTGAAACTTTTATCCTCAAAATGGCCCAGTCACGTCTGGTTAAATGTGTAGCATCATTTTTACCTGATAAAAGAAGAAACTATATCTAGAACTGCCAACCTAGAACTCCACAGACTCAAACTAAACAAAATTAAGATAAAAATACATCAGGAGGAGAAGGAAGTAAACACAATATAGAAAATTCAACCAATGTGGCTCAGTTTGTAACCCATCAAATGTCCACCTAACTTCTCTGATACTTCATTCATATCTGGTTTTTAAATATTATAATATTTGCCTTATAAACCTATTATTACTCTTCGAGCAATTTAAACAACTAGCTTGAATATTATTCCTTTGATTTGTTACCTGGGCCTAATGCTTCTAGTGTTTCTTTGGAAGCCAGAAATTACCCATCCTCATCTTCAACCATATCCTTGGGCCCCATAACTCATTCTGATTTTGATTGCTCTGTCATTGACTTTGGATAATAGGCCAATATTCTAGGAATTACTATTATATTTTATTAATCAGAGCCAGGAGAATTTATAGTAGTGAAACCGAAGGATTTGCAAGTGGAGCTCGCATATCTCCTGTAAAATGTGTCTCCATGGGCCAGCCACGTGATGGATGGAGATATCACATGCTCCTTCCCTCCCTTGGCAGCCAGGTGAGCAGCAGCCAGATCCTGTCTCTGGGGACCATTGACTGAGCCTTGCTCAGGGCTTCTCTTAAGGAAAATGTGTGGGAAGGGAGTGTAACATGGAAGACTTACTACGAATGGGGTGGCCACACATACCTGCAGTGGGGTTGTGGTCACAGCTCCAGATATGGTCTGACAAAGGAGAAGGCTATGCACTTTTTGCAATATTTCTCATGATTTTTCCTGATAAAGAAATATTAATACCTACCTGCTTATCATAAGAGATATATTTTGGGCCGGGCACGGTGGCTCACACCCGCAATCCCAGCACTTTGGGAGGCCGAGGCGGGCAGATCACGAGGTCAGGAAATCAAGACCATCCTGGCTAACACGGTGAAACCCCGTCTCTATTAAAAACACAAAAAATTAACTGGGCATGGTGGCGGGCGCCTGTAGTCCCAGCTACTCAGGAGGCTGAGGCAGGAGAATGGTGTGAACCCGGGAGGTGGAGCTTGCAGTGAGCTGAGATCGTGCCACTGCACTCCAGCCTGGGCAACAGAACAAGACTCTGTCTCAAAAAAATAAATAAATTTTAAAAAAAGAGACTTATTTTGGAAGTACTGACAAGTGAAGAATTAAAGAAATGGAGCACTTAGGACGCAACCACACAGCTTATATTTTTACTTATTTCCCTTGCATTATATATTCTTGTGCGGTTTTTTGTTACATAGTTAAATTTATTCTACATATACAATTCTTACACTCTTTTAATACTGCATTGCACATACTCAAATAAGGAAAAATCTTCCTAAATATCATTTTAGACAGCTGCATTAACGTGCTATCAGAGAGTTAAATCAGTGTTTACTTACCTCTCTGCAGATTTACTGCCTTTCAGGAGGGACTCGATCCCCACAGTAGAATCCTTAAAGCATTGGGCTTGCGGAAATGCTATCAACCTCCAGGTTCATCCATCAACTACAGGTCCACCCTTTGCTAGGCTTGTGGCTAAATCTTCGATGTAGCAGTGCATAAAATGGAAGTAATAATAATTAGTGGTGCAGAGTTGCTGTATCATTGAAATAAAATCAGTGCTGTAAAGCATCCGGCACACAGCAAATGCTCTTTAATCAATTGAAGTCAGTTGCACTAGAATTTCAAGTGTCTTCGCGTTTGGTGTTCCTTCTATCTGGAATGCTTTCCCCCTAGAAATCTGTGTAGGACTCTGTTTTGTTACCTTGTTAAAGAAGCTTCCCAGAACACCCAATTCAAAGAGGGATCATACCTCATTCTAACTCTGCTTTATTCCTTATCATAATCCTTATCATTGTCTGGCACATTATTTATATGTTTATCTAGTTACAGCCTGTCTTCTTAATCTAGAATGGAAGCTTTCTGATGCAGGGATTTTAAGTGCTTTGTGCCCTGTCATATCCCCAGCATCTAGAATACCTCTTGGCATGTAGTAGGTGTTTAATGAATGAATAAACTGCTTGGGCACTGGGGGTGAGCTATGCAAAGTCTAGACCTCACACTAGTCTAACCTCTGGGAATGTTGACTCTGGAATCTGGTTTTAAGAATTTTTTTGGGTGGGGCATGGTGGCTTACGTATGTAATCTCTGCACTTTGGGAGGGTGAGATGGGAGGATCGTTTGAGGCCAGGAATTCAGTTTCAGCCTGGGCAACATAATGAGACCCCGTCTCAACAAAGAATTTTAAAAATTAGCCAGGTGTGGTGGCGAGCCCCGGGAGTCCTAGTTACTCAGAAGGCTGAGGTGGGAGGATCGCTTGAGCCCAGGCGTTTGAGTCTGAAGCGAGCTGAGCTTGAATTACTGCCCTACAGCCTGCACAACACAGTGAGACCCTGTCTCAAAAAAAAAAAAAAAAAAAAAAAAAAAAAAAAGTTAGAATTTTCTCCTCTGAGATTTTTATGTCTTCTAAAAATCGTGACCTGCTTTCTTAAGCTGTAGTTCTTTTACCAATTTCATTTTATTGAAACAATCCTTGCAAACTCTGATTACATTTTCCTGTTCTCATTTCAAAATCTACTTGATTCTAAGTGAAGAACAATACTTTAAACAACAATAATGTTACTAACTACAATGGGTTAAACACCCATTGTACTTATTACTACTCAGCTAATTCACTGAAAGATCACAATGACAGGTGAACAGGACTCGTGCGTTTGTTCAGGGCAGTCATTCTGCCTGGCCAAACTGCTTTGACGACACAAAGGAGACAAAATGAGGCAATCCTTGGTGCGTTTCACACAAAGCTCTCCTCCGTCTTCCTCTTTACTCTCGTTCCCTGACCTGCCCCTCCCTTCTTCCTCACCGTTGGTCACTGTAAGCCTTCTCCTGTCTTTTAATTTCTGAAATGGTCAAAACCACTGACAAGGTCCCAGGCCCCAGGATATGTGGACCCAGGCTCAGTGTGGGCTGGACCTGCACGAAAGCTTGGAGCCCATTGGTTGGGGGAACTGACGTGGATCTGGACAGATCCTCCCCACGTAACAGCCTTGTTGCCTTTCCCTGTATTTGCGAAATAGTTGCGCGGGAGAATGTTCCTCATTGTCCTGAGACTTGAGTAAGATAAAGCAACTAAAAACCCTAAGTCAGTGTCTGCTCATCAGAAACATGCAGTGAAAGAAAGCGAGTCCTGTTTTCAAAAACTGACACGTGACTTCCTCGCCTTTCTTCCTCTGGAACGATCCATTGTTGAGGTTGTGTGGTTTCTGTGAGTCTTTGCAAATTCTTTCTGCAAACCTGGGATGAGCCTTGTGCTAGGTGCTGGGGATACAAAGATGTGACTGTGGTCCTTGCTTTGGGACATCCTAGCAATTGTAATACAATGTATTATAAAGTTGTATTTTTGTGTTTACAAGTTTTGGACGCAGACTCAAATCTGACCATTTTGAGTCAATGGGAAAGGGCCAATTTGAAGAATAGCATATTTCAGGGTAATCAGTCTCATTACTTGACATATTCTAGGAAACTCGGGAAGCGCAGATCTGAATTAAATTGAATTTAATCTTCCTTAAGTACATGCTGTAGTTGAAACCAGGTTAACAAGTGTTATCTAATAAAGAGATCCTTGGTGAGAATCAGTTAAGAATGACTGTAATTAGTGATGGTTTATCATTGTCAATTTAAATCCTTGGGTATTCCTAAAGTACTCAGGGATGCTTAAAAACTCTTTGTCTTCTTAAGAGGCTTTAAAACTTTTTCTCTACAATCTTGTTGACACAGTTAATTAACAGTTAGAACAATAGACACAAATCCTTACTTCCCTAATTGTGCTGGGGTAAACCTCAGTCACAGCATAATTCTTTCCAAAATTCCAGTGTGTGAAATGCACGTGAATGAGTGTTGTAGGTCGCCTTAGCGTTGGCTAGTAATGAGCTGAAAAAACACTTACTGTGGCTCACGCCTGTAATCCCAGCACTTTGGGAGGCCGAGGTGGCGGATCACAAGGTCAGGAGATCGAGACCATCCTGGCTAACACTGTGAAACCCCATCTCTACTAAAACTACAAAAAATTAGCCAGGCGCGGTGGCGGGAGCCTATAGTTCCAGCTACTTGGGAGGCTGAGGCAGGAGAATCGCTTGAACCTTAGAGGTGGAAGTTGCAGTGAGCTGAGATCGCACTACTGCACTCCAGCCTGGGAGACAGAGCGAGACTCTGTCCCCCCCAAAAAACAAAACAAAACAAAACAAAAACACAAAAAAACTTACTCCGGGCATCTCCTCCAACTCTCCAATCCTGCTCTACCTGATAGTTTTTGTTTAAAATCTTTCAGATTTCTCTCCCCCTCCCGCCCCCATGGAACTGCTTTTACATGTAACACCTCTGACATGGGATCTTAACCCTGAAATGAGCCATTAACTAGGGAGTTACATATGTTTATATTTTATTTTTTAAGTTCAGGGTGCATGTGCAGGTTTGTTACCTAGGTAAACTTGTATTATGGGAGTTTGTTGTACAGATTATTTCATCACCCAAGTATTAAGCGTAGTACCCATTAGTTATTTTTCCTGATCCTCTCCCTCCTCCCACCCTCCACCCTCCAATAGGCCAAAGTGTGTGTTGTTATCCTCTATGTGTCCATGTGTTCTCATCATTTAGCTCCCACTTATAAGGGAGAATGTGTGGTATTTGGTTTTCTGTTTCTGCGTTCGTTTGCTAAGGTTAATGGCCTCCAGCTCCATCCATGATCCTGCAAAGGACATGATCTCGTTCTTTTTTATGGCTGCATAGTATTCCATGATGTACATGTACCACATTTTCTTTATCCAGTCTACTATTGATGGACATTTAGGTTGATTCCATGTCCTTGTGATTGTGAATAGTGCTGCAATGAACACATGAGTGCACGTGCCTTTATGATATATTATATTCCTTTGGGTATAAACCCAGTAATGGGATTGCTGGGCCAAATGGTATTTCTGTTTTTAGGTTCTGAGGAATCATAGTTCAACCATTTTGGAAGACAGGGAGTTATATTTTTTATGGCCACTGTTCCTGATAAAGGAAGTCAGTATAAGTGTCTTTTCTGTGGATTGGGACTCAAAATAGAAATAGAACTCACAGGCTGAAATATTTATCGTTTGTATGGAACCAGCTGTACATGATGCAAAATCTGTATCATTTGTTCTCACACCGAAATGTGAGTTTACAGCTATGTGGAGGTTTGTTTGGGAGTTTGTTGAAATGCTCTGAAGGGAAGAAGAGAGTGGAGAAAGGGGGACGTTAGGTGGACTGTGGGGTGTCTGAAAGTGTGGCTCTGGGAGCGTTCTAGAAATCTCCAGGGCTGTGGTGGGCACTGCGGCCTGCCCATTTCTCTCTAGGCAGAATTTCATGTTTCTCTTTTTTATGGACATGAGTCAGCTGTGCTGGGATTGGAGAGGGTCTCCCAGACCCCTTTGCCTCTGGGCCGCCAGTTCATTTGGAGCCTTGGCCAGCCCCCCGGGGAGACTCAGCTTTGCTGCAGCTTGCTCTCTCTGTCATCAGGATGGTGAGGAGGAAGGAGGTCCTCACAGTCCAGGAGGTACACCAGATTCTAACGACGTGAATATAAGCCTTGAGTAAACACTCAAAAACAAACAAACAAACAAAAGACAATTGTGAATCAAGGGTGAATTCGCCTTGACTTTTCTTCGCCACCAAATGCACCCAGCTGGGGGGAGGTGCTCAGAGACGAGGAGCCTGGACAGTCCCCAGACTGGACCTGTCTGCAACATCAGCATCATCTGGCTGAACTTGACAGAAGCACAAATTCTGCATTCTTTGGCCCCTCCCCAGACCTACTGCGACAGAAACCCTGGAGTTGAGGCCCCGAACTCTGTGATTTTTAACGAGCCCTTTGGGTGATTCTGTTGTAGCGGAAGTTTGAGAACCGCTGGTTCAGAAGTGTATTAAATCTGGGTTTGCGTATTCCTCTGTCGCGCACTAGCAGTGGAATCTTAGTATCCACGTCTGTGAGGTGGAGAGAATATTCATTCCCTCAACAAATATGTGTTTCACACCTGCTCAGCCCAGATAGTGTGCTCGGCCCTGGGGACACAATACCTGTGAAACCAGGCAGGACCTGACTTCACAGAGCTTAGAGATAGACACTGAGCAAATCGTCACGAAATAAAAGTGTAATGACCGACGGCAGTAAGTGTTCATGGGGAATGAATCGCAGGCTCTGAGAGTTTGGAGCAGGCACACTGGACCTAGTTTGGAGACTCAGGGTGGGGCTTGCCAGCCTAATGCTGTCATTTTGAACATTTCCCATCCAAGGTGACTCTTGGAAGTAGTTTCTGACAGGCCAAGGCCATTTTTGTCAGTTTGTTCTGCCCCATCCGGCTGGGCATGTGGCTTGCTCAGTGCTCCCAGCCTTGGCGCCCTCCGCCATTTTGAACGCCATCTTCATCTCTGTGTGGAAGTGGCAACTAAGGGAGGCCCTCAGACTCTTGCAGTGCGGCCTCCCTGGCCTGCCTCCCCCTGCCTGGACTGTCGGCTTCGTGAGGAATACAATTCCCTAGCGACAATTCTTTGCTGTGTCCTTCTGCCCCCAGTTTCTTTGCTTGGGTCCTGGCTGGCTTCCCACTCTCCACTCTATTCAGAAAGCAACCCTGCTTTATTACAGATTTCTCCCCAGGTCTGAGCTCCAAGTGCCTGGTGGCTGATGCCTGGTGTGGGTGAGGGCAACACGGTTTTGTTGCAAATCTGACCCATTGAGGCGGGCTGTGGGATACGAGCTTCTAGCAGCCCTGTTGTGCAGCCTCTGGAGCCTCCTTGGGTTTGCTGTCCCTCCTGATGGAGCCTTGACTGCAGGTACCAGTGCTTTCCAATCACTGGGAAGGACACTGCCAGGCTGGCTGATTGCCAAGGAGATGCTGGCCCTTCTGGGCTGGAGAGGAGAGGGCCATGATCTTTTTGAGTTGTTAATCTTGTCCTGTCCTTGGAGCACAGAACCAACTTTCAAAACTGGAACAAAACACCCATGCACAAAAACAATAGACCCATGAGTTGAGTTGAGAAGCCATGCTGCCAGGAGGATGGGGAGGCAGGCTGGTCAATAGCACCTCTGACTATTTCAGATGTCCACTAAAGAAGAGTTTGCTTTCTAAGCACCAAACTCTAGATGGGTCTTGAAAAGTAGAGAGGAATTTCTCTGGCTGTCATTAGTCTCTGCTTCCCCCAGATTCAGCAGTCCCAAGGCCCTGAGGAATTTTAGGCTGACGTGTTAGATACATCCTGGGCTTAAGCCAAAGCAGGGGTACACTGGTGTAAAGTTTAGTCTAAAGCTGCCTTCTTACATATTTTAGTTCAGCCTAAAGGTTTCTCCATTTACGGTGAACTGTAACCTCACTGAACATGTAAACAGGCTGTAACTTACCCTTGTACCAATCACAAAGTTTTGGCCAATTGCAGGTGGCCAACTGTTCAAGCCGTGTTCACGTAAGGCCAATGCCGAGCTGTAACCAGTCCAGTTGTTTCTATACCTTACTTCCATCTGCTGCATGAAACTTTCCTTTTTCTGTCTGTAAACTCTTTCCAATGACGTGGCAGCGCCAGAGTCTCTGAACCTACTCTGGGTCCGGGGCTGCCTATATCTCAACCGTTCTTTGCTCAGTTAAACTCTGTTAAATTTAATTTGTCTAAAGTTTTTCTTTTAACGCTGGGTGGTTCCTTAGGACCACCCAGCGTTAAAAGAACACGTTGCTGGGCAGGGGTGCTGTACTTGTTCTTGCTGCCCTGGGCCTGTTCTGGTGAGCCTGAGGCCCGGGAATGTGCGGTGGTCTTCCCTGGGACCCCCAGAGGCTGCTGATGGCCACAGCCAGCTTGTGTGCAGGTCTAGGCTTTCTGCTTTCTGTCCTTTCTCCATTGCTTGGTAAGAACCCTGACAGGTAGCCTGGATCTTATTTGTCCCTTATTTGGGGGTAGACCCTATTTCTCCTCCCCTCATCTAATGGTTTGGCTTCTTCAAGGTAGATGGGCTTCCCAGACTGAAGGCATCATTGCTTCCTGACTGCTGGGCCGGAGGTGGACCCAGACTGCACCCCCAAGGCCCATGGCTCTCCATCCTGGCTGCACAGTAGAGTCAGTGGGGGGAAATTTTTAAAAATATGTAGGGCCCGATCCCACTTAAACCATTTAAAACAAACTGTCTGGGGATGGGAGTTGGGCTTCGGTGTTTTTTGAAAGCTCCCTGCTGCTGTACCGCGCTGCCGTGTTTGAGAACCATCTCCTCAGATCCATGGCAAGCAGCCCTAGTTCCTCGAAGGCCATTTCACATCAGATACAATTATTTATAGGCAGAGTTTTTAAAAAGGATAAAATAACAATAAAAAGGTTTTGATTTCCAAGGGGTTACTGCAGCCATCATTGCCTAGCAAGCTCCCGGCCGCGCTCTAAGTTACAGAGGTGAAGAGAATTGAGGCAGTTCCGCCTCCCGGGGTTTTCTTCTGGGGGTGGAGACCTAGGTAAGAAAAATCACCCAAATGTATAATTAAAAACTGTGGGTAAATGCCAAAGGGGGCCAAAAGAGCGGTTCCTCCCCAGGGTTGGGCAAGTATGGGGTGGGGATAGGGCTGTGGTTAGAGAAAGATCCCCCGGGGGGAAAACATTTGCATGGAAATCGGAGGGAAGAATAAGGCTTCCCAGGTGGAGCAGGGAGGACCAGCAGGTTCCTGCCAGAGAGAAGAGTGTCTGCAAACCCCTGAGGCAAGAGGAGCCTGTGTCTTTGAAGGTCTGAACAAAGGCTCATTCCACAGAGTCAGGAAAGCAGAGGGGGCAGTATTTGGGGAAGAGGCCCAGGAGGAAGGGTAGGGGGGGCCAAGTTGGCCAGGCCCTTCTTGATGCTGAATGGCAGGAGGACTTTGAAGAAGTGACAGGGTCAGAGGTGCCATCCAGAAAGATCACCCTGATCAGAGCTGGGAGAATGGAGGTGCCGGGCAGGAGCAGATGCCAGGGCCTGCTTGGAGGCAACTGGAATACTCCAGGCAAGAGGACGGAGTCCAAGGCCAGGGTGGGAGAAGGGGTTGGGAAGCCCTGCCGGGGGTAGAATGGACTCAAGATTTGAAATTCGGGCAGGGAGTGGGAAACAGTGTCAGTCATGAGCCCCTGGGTGCTGCCTCATGGACCAAATGGATGCTGGTGCCATTGACTGCGATAGAATCCTGGGGAGCGACCAGAGCGAGGTGGCAAAGAGATAGAGAGAGAGGGAGAGAGAGAGAATTGTGTGTGTGTGTGTGTGTGTGTGTGTGAGCGAGGTGGCAAAGAGAAAGAGAGAGAGAGAGAATGTGTGTGTGTGTGTGTGTGTGAGCGAGGTGGCAAAGAGATAGGGAGAGAGAGAGAATGTGTGTGTGTGTGTGTGTGTGTGTGAGCGAGGTGGCAAAGAGATAGGGAGAGAGAGAGAGTGTGTGTGTGTGTGTGAGCGAGGTGGCAAAGAGATAGGGAGAGAGAGAGAATGTGTGTGTGTGTGTGTGTGAGCGAGGTGGCAAAGAGATAGAAAGGGAGAGAGAGAGTGTGTGTGTGTGTGTGTGTGTGAGCGAGGTGGCAAAGAGATAGAAAGAGGGAGAGAATGTGTGTGTGTGTGTGTGAGCGAGGTGGCAGAGAGGGAGAGAGAATGTGTGTATGTGTGAGCGAGGTGGCAAAGAGAGAGGGAGAGAATGTGTGTGTGTTTGTGTGTGTGAGGTGGCAAAGAGATAGAAAGAGAGGGAGAGAGAATGTGTGTGTGTGTGTGTGTGTGTGAGTGAGGTGGCAAAGAGAAAGGGAGAGAGAGAATGGGTGTGTGTGTGTGTGAGCGAGGTGGCAAAGAGAAAGGGAGAGAGAGAATGTGTGTGTGTGTGTGTGAGCGAGGTGGCAAAGAGAAAGGGAGAGTGTGTGTGTGTGTGTGTGAGCGAGGTGGCAAAGAGATAGGGAGAGAGAGAATGTGTGTGTGTGTGTGTGAGAGCGAGGTGGCAAAGAGATGGAGAGAGAGAATGTGTGTGTGTGTGTGAGTGAGGTGGCAAAGAGATAGAGAATGTGTGTGTGTGTGTGAGCAAGGTGGCAAAGAGATGGAGAGAGAGAGAATGTGTGTGTGTGTGTGTGTGTGAGCGAGGTGGCAAAGAGAGAGGGAGAGAGAGAATGTGTGTGTGTGTGTGTGGTGGCAAAGAGATAGAGACGGAGAGAGAGAGAGAATGTGTGTGTGTGTGTGTGTGTGTGTGAGCGACGTGGCAAAGATAGGGAGAGAGAGAATGTGTGTGTGTGTGCGTGTGAGCGAGGTGGCAAAGAGATAGGGAGAGAGAATGTGTGTGTGTGTGTGTGTGTGCAAGGTGGCAAAGAGATGGAGAGAGAGAATTGTGTGTGTGTGTGTGTGTGAGCGAGGTGGCAAAGAGAGGGAGAGAGAGAGAATGTGTGTGTGTGTGTGTGTGTGTGTGTGTGTGTGTCTGAGTGCGTGTTTGTCTGAGATGTGTGTATGTTAATTATTAGCCCAGGCCAGGCGCAGTGGCTAACGCCTGTAATCCCAACCCTTTGGGAGGCTGAGGTGGGTGGATCACCGGAGGTCAGGAGTTTGAGACCAGCCTGGGCAACATGGTGAAACCCTGTCTCTACTAAAATATAAAAAATTAGCCAAATTAGTCAGGTGTAGTTGTGGGCACTTGTAATCCCAGCTACTCAGGAGGCTGAGGCACGAGAATTGCTTGAACCTGAGAGGCAGAGGTTGCAGTGAACCGAGATAGCGCCACTGCACTCCAGCCTGGGCAACAGAGTGAGATTCTGTCTCCAAAAATAATAATAATAATAATGATGATGATGAGCCCAGATTGTGGTCAGTTTAAGAGATGAAAGTGAGGAAACAGAATTTTACTTGTTTGGCCACAGAATATTATCTGGGCATATTTGAGAGGAATGAGGAGATAATTTTCTTTTTTAAAAAATGTTTTAGTTGACAAAAAATTGTATATGTTTATTGCATACATGTTGCTTTAAAATATGTATACATTGTGGAGTGGCTCCACTGAGCCCCTTAAGATAGGCATTACCTCACATGCACATCATATTTTTATGGTGAGACTTAATATCTACTCTCTTAGCAATTTTCAGGAGTAAAATACGTTGTTATTAATATAGTCACCATGTTGTGCAATAGAACTGTTGAACTTTTTGCTCCTAATAGAAATTTTATTTTTATTATTCCTAATAGAAATTTTATTTTTATTATTCCTAATAGAAATTTTATTTTTATTATTCCTAATAGAAATTTTGTACCCTTTAACCAACATCTCTCCAAACCTCTCCCTCCCGGCAGCCCCTCGTAACCACCATCCTGCGCTGTACTTTCATGCCTTCAGCTTTTTAGATTCCACATGTAAGTGAGATCACGCGGTGTTTGTGTTTCTGTGCTTGGCTTATTTCCCTTAACTTAAGGTCCTCAGGTTCGCATGTGGAGGAGACAGTTTTCTAATCTTTAATCCTTTGCTTTGTGGAGTGTTTCCAGTCGCCTGAGTGGTTTTCCATGCATTTGCCATTCCGTCTCTTCTTACACTCGGGCAGATATTATCATCATCATGACAGTTTTTAGAGCGGGGACTGAGACTCAGAGAGGTAAAGCCTGTTGTCCAAGACCACGCAGAGGACCAGGATGTTGGAATCTGCCCTTCCTTGCCACTATTTGCTGCATGGCCAGTGTATGCTGGGCACTTTTCTAGGTGCCAGAGGGCACTGAGCTGAGTCTGGTGTTGGGAGGGGTGGGTCTGCGGCCCTCTCCTCCCACACCTGTGGGTTCTCTTCTTGCGCCGAGTGGGGCAGAGGAGATCCGGCTGAGGCAGCACTAGGCGCAGCCCCCACACTGCCTGCGGGGTGGCGGTGGGGATCTGGTGGCTTCTCTCTGTGGTTGTGCAGGTCTTGATGGCTTCTGTACCCAGAGCTCCTGCCCTGGACAGCAGGGGCTCGGAGCTGCCCATTCCCATTGTAAGGAGGCTCCTCTCTATGCTGGAGGGTACTGTCTGGAGGTGTTTGCCTCACTCTCTCCGCTGTGTTAACTGAAAGGCAGGGTGCAGATGCGTGCGGAATCTGGGCAGCCTTGGACGCCCGCCCTTGAACTCAAAGTACGCACACCTTCCTCTTCCAACTTGGACGCCGGCTCCCTGGGTTCATCTTGGCCTTGGCCCTGTCCTTCTCAGGTCTAGTTCATTTCTTTTTGCTATCAGGCTGCAACTCCCATCCAAGGAAGGCTGGGCAGAATCCAATAATGAGTAGATTTCACTGACGGTTAGATTGATTGTCTAATCTGGTTGTCATGGGGGCCAGCAGAGACAACAGCATTGAGTCTTCCAGCGCTGAGGACAAATAGGTCAGAAGCATGCTCTTGGGTGGCCCCTCAGCCTGTCTATCTCTAAGAGACCAAAAGACTCGGTATTTTGCAGCCACCTGGGGTTATGGCAAGGATGATGTCAGGTCCCCGAGGGGGTCTCTGAATGGCCCTTCTGCTCTTGATTTATGAAAAGCATTCTGGCACATGCTTTTCCTCTCTCTGTCTGTTGTCAGACAGCCTGAGGAATCCACTCCCTTCATCCCCGTCCTGTCTCGAATCTCAGCAACACTCTGGGAGGTCTCTCAGTGGCTCCTTCCTAGGTTTCACAATCAAGTCTTTATTCCAGGCAATTTATTTCCAACCTAGATACCAACAGCACACGTTGGGATGACTATAAAGCTGACTGCAAGGACATCTCAGCCAGGCCCAGGCAGTGGATGGAAGTCTTAGGATGGAAGTGTGAGAGTTAAGAAATGATGTATTTCAATTGGAACATTTTTCAGATGGGGAAATGGAGGCATAAAAGGGGGAGGCATGTGGCCTGAGACTCTTACAGGCATGGGACACGTCCTTTTCTGGATCCTGCAGCCCAGTCTTTTCTCCACATCCCAGGGACTTGCTACTCTTCATAACATCTCCTGTGTTCACAGCAGCATACGTGTACCTGCTGCTGTCGTCATTTGTGATAACTGCACACCGCTGGCCGCAGCCCGGCTCAGAGAGACTCATGACCTGATTCTGAGGGACTGGTAGGAGCAGACGCTGTGGAGCGTGTTTGCAAGGGGCCAGGCTCTCCTCTGTGTGCGGTGAATTCAGTTGCTCCTCGTGACTCCCGTGAGGAAGGCATTGCTATTATCCCCATGTCACAGACGAGGACTCTCTGGCACACGAAGGGAGAAGAGTTTGGTCCACATCACACACCCCAGAGTGGCAGAACCAGGATAGGAACCCACACAGTCGGGCTTTGACAAGGTGTTCTTAGCTTCTATGTGATGTGGCTTCCGAGTCAGCTCAGCTGGTGTTCCTGAATCAGGTCTATTGCGAAGGAGCATGTAAGGTTCCAGGAGAGTGCAGGAGGTCTGTCTCATTTTGGAAAGGCCGAGCGACAGGAAAAACCACATAAAACCCTTGCTGATTTTTCTGCTTCTGTTACACCGAGTGTGGGTGCGTTGTGCTCTGTACAAAATAATGGTTTTTGTCAGACAGGGACGAGCCGCTGATGGAGGAACACCTTTCCTCCTAGGCTCTCCCTGCGTCAGGCGCAGCCTCGTCATCCTGCCCTGCCCAGTAATTTAGAAGAATAGCAGTAATGATGACAGCCAAAGCCAGCTGGATCCTCAGGGAGAGTCCTAGGAGGCAAACTATAATTATCTAAATTAGACTCTGAGGGGGACTTAAGTTTTACAACCTGTTGTTCTCTGCCACAGAGAGGAGTGTTGCTAATGTCTCTTTTTGCTGAAAGTGTGCCTTACAATGGAGTGTCTCACGGCTGATGTTCATATGGAAACAATGACACTTGCTTTTCTTTCTTTTTTGCCAAAACCCATTCAAAGAGTTCACTGTATCTCAGTGAAGGTTGAGAGGACTTCTAGAAACTTCCAGAAACTTACGAAAGTTTCCATGTTTGTGAAATGAATGTTTTGCCTTTTTCCTAAATTACATTCCCATCAAGAAGCAAGTAGTTCTTGCATATTCTTCCATCTCAAAGTAATCACTCACCTATTTCACCAGGCTGTTTTTTTGGAGTCTCAACTGGCAAATTTCTACAAAGTGCTCTTCTTCACAAGACTTCCTGTTACCTCAGGACCAGAGGTAACCATGAAGCTGAGGGCGGTGGGGCAGCCTCACTAGTGAAATGACTCCCTCCCGCTCACAAGCCTTCCATGGGGCTCACGCCACACCTCAGCAACATTACAAATGCCGACCTAAGTAACACGGGGGTTGACTTCAGACATTGTGGTCAGGCCGACTTGTGTTTAAACCTAGGCTTTGACACCGGTCGATCGTTCAGCCACATGCAGGTTACCTAAGCATGTCCCACGTGGCACAAAGCAGTTGCCTGAACGCCACACTGGGAGGCTTGTCTTAACTTTATCCTGGCTTCCACCTGCACTCGCCGTGATTCTGAGGGCTACTGACCCCAGCCTGGTGCTGCGTTTGGGCTCAAAAAATTGCAATGCTGTCAAGCTGCAGAATCTCTATTGCCCAACAGATACTGTTGTCTTGCCAAATAATTTTTAGTAATTTTCCACCCATCCCCCTTTATGTAATTTTCCATTTCCCCATAGCCCCTCTAGTCTGTTTTTTTTTTATTCCCTCCTTTCACTTCCCCATAATCCCTTTTAGTTCCCTCTCTGTTCTCCCTTTAGAAACCTCCATACCTTTGTCCTAGCTGGATTTGAGCTCAGTTATATTGGAGTCTCTTTCCTCTAAGGCAGTAGACTGAACAAAATGTTTTGCCGCCTTTAATGTGTGTCTGGCACTGGCATTGATGAAGGCTTAGCTTCTGCACCTGTAACATGAACAGGTGAGTATCTCTTCTTCTAACTAGGCACTACTTAGTGATATAATAACAGTAACATGTTCTGGGCCATGAGGATTTATTTCCCAAAGTAGAAACCACATTGGTTAAATGTGCAAATATCAATGCTGTACTGAGTTGAAAAGACACCCCAAGCCGGGCACGGTGGCTCATGCCTGTAATCCCAGCACTTTGGGAGGCCAAGGCTGGTGGATCACCTGAGGTCAGGAGTTCAAGGCCAGCCTGGCCAACATGGTGAAACCCCGTCTCTACTAAAAATACAAAAATTAGCCGGGTATAGTGGTGTGCACCTGGAATCCCAGTTACTTGGGAGGCTGAGGCAGGAGAATCGCTTGAACCCAGGAGGCGGAGGTTGCAGTGAGCCAAGATCGAGCCACTACACTCCAGCCTGGGTGACAGAGCAAGACTCTAAGAAAAAAAAAAAAGACACCCCAAATACTCACAAGCGAAGTGACACTTGAAAGAATCTTCACATTTACAGGCTGAAGAAGAGAAACAAGGGAATCTTAAAAGTGAGAGGGCCGGGTGTGGTGGCTCACGCCTGTAATCCCAGCACTTTGGGAGGCCAAGGCAGGCAGATCACGAGGTCAGGAGATCAAGACCATCCTGGCTAACACAGTGAAACCCCGTCTCTACTAAAAATACAAAAAATTAGCCGGGCGTGGTGGCGGGTGCCTGTAGTCCCAGCTACTGGGAAGGCTGAGGCAGGAGAATGGCGTGGACCCGGGAGGCGGAGCTTGCAGTGAGCCGAGATCGCGCCACTGCACTCCAGCCTGGACAACAGAGCGAGACTCCATCTCAAAAAAAAAAAAAAAGTGAGAACAGCGACAGTACATGCAAGGCAGAGTTGTGGATGGAAGAGTGGACTTTGGTAACAGAAAAGAGGCAGGCAAGGTTGGGATTAAAAGGGCCCTGTGTATCAGTGTGAGGTGCTTGCATTCCATCTTTAGGGCAACAGGAGAGCTTAAGCCACAAGGCGAGTTTTGCTTACTAGGTGGTGCTAATAGGAAGAGCCAAACCATAAGGCAGAAAAGAGGTGGATTTGCTTACATTGATATTAAGGATTTCTGGTCCAGTCCCTGGACAGAGTTTATAATAGATGACAGAAATGGGAGAAGGTCTTTACTCAGGAAAATCCTCAAATCCACAGGAAAAAAAGATGGCAACTTCTAACAAAATGGGAAAAGGATAGAATGAGGCAATTTTTAGCAGAAAAACCTCCCATCTCAAATAATAAACACATGATGAGGTGCTTAATATCTTAGTAATCAGATGAAAATTAAACAGCCACAAGCTACCACTTTACATCTGTTAGACTATATCTTTATTAGAAAGCTGGATAGTGCCAAGTGTGGTGGGAGATCCAGGAGCCTCCCCTCACTGCTACGAGGAGACTGGATTGGAGAGCATGCGAATTGAGTATTGCCTACCCAAAGAGGCTACATCAACCCGGATCCTCGAACAAAGATGTTCTTTGCTGTGTCATTTGTAGAAGTATGGAATTCTCTCTCAGCTAAGAGATGAGGCTGACAAAGTGCTGTGGATGCACATGAAGTTTGACGCATCAATTACAGGAAACAGATCAGCCAGCCAACAGCGACATCGCTGGATCTCAACAACGCAGTGTTAGTGAGAACTCTAGGAAGCAAAATGAATTATCTATGCCATTTACATAGATTAGAGATACACCCATACAAATATATACAGCTTTTAAGGAATATGTGCAAAAAGCACTCTATTAAAGAGAATGAAGGTTGCCCAGAGGCAGGGGGAGGGGAAAGGGAGTGAGGGGATGGAGCTTGAATCTGGGGAGGGGAAAGGGAGTGAGGGGATGGAGCTTGAAGACAATAAATAAATAATAAGAGTAAAACCTTGCATGGTTACAGCTCTCAGACTGAGGAGTATGAAGATTTTAGCCTTTGGCACTGAGGTTAAACAAAAGCCATCATTTTGAGGGAAAGGACTACCTTTGTTTATGTACTTTATTGGGGTCTGGAAGGATGCCACATATGCTTAAATAATTAAGAATTTTTTTAATAATCCCATATAATGTTTATCATGTTTTCAAAGCTCCTTCCCATAGGTGGATCAATTTGATTGTTACAATGACTATATAAATGAGTTCGTGGGGATATTTTTAGAAAATGAGGAAGCTGAGCCCATAGGGGCAAAGTGACTTGCCTAGGGTCACACAGCTGGGAAGTGTGACTCACCCCTTGGACTCTTAACCCTTGTCCAAGGTCTCAGGTCCCCAGGAATTATCACTACATCAAATGGAAAATCATTGCTCCTTTAAGGAAATTGAAATGATAAATGTCGTTTGCCTTGGATTTTTTTCACATGGACTTTTCTGTTTTCACTGCTTTTGTTGTGCTTAGATTTTGTTTTTGTCATTGTTAGGGGAGAAATTTTGCTACTTGTGTATCATGTCAATGGCTGTTAGCACTACAGCATAAAGTCCGTTAATGGGTTTAACAGAACTAATAGCAGCTATTTTTAATTTAAAAGTGTCTGTATGTATTTTTCTTATTTCAAACATAACTTATACTCCATTGGAACTCTCTTTTTTTCACCTTCCAGAGATAACCGCTGGTAAGAGTTTGGCTTATATTCTTCTACATTTTTTTCCCCACAAGAAACTGAAATTTGAATTTTCTTCTACAAGTGAGAAAAAAAAAAAGTAAAATCTCTAACTGTCTTAGTGATGATAATTCTGAGAAGACAGGCCCATTGAGCCAAGTAGGAGGATAGGTTTCCTGAGGATGGAGATGCAGAAATAGTTGACTTTGCCTTCACGAAGCATCCTGACATTTTTAGATGTGGCTACACTCTGTGGGCCGGAAGTCGAATTCCCTGGAGGGCTAGAGCTCTCAGTATTTTGGACATATGTGAAGTCAGCACAGGGGGCAGGCGGTAAGTTAACTTGAAGAGAATTCCAGTTACAAATTTAGCTCAGCTTCTAAAAAACACTCCCATCGAAGAGAGATTCCTGGTTGCTGTGGAACTGCGTCCCCTGTGGGATTTTCCTTGTGGAGTTAACTAGACACAGTTGTTACTAGGTAGCGGGACAACAGATTTGCTTAAGATCTCTTCGATTTTGACAGTTTGATGATGGGTGACTTATGTGGTATTGTGGACATCTGTTGGCTTTATATTTTGCCTGCCAAGCATCCATACTTTCTTTTTTCTGGTATCCATACTCAATTTTTCTTCTGGTTCACCACCTATACCGGGTTGAATAATGCCTCCCTCCCCACCCCAATTCATGTCTACTCGGAAGCTCAGCATGTGACTTTATTTGGAAATAAGAGTCTTTGTGGATATAGCTAGGATGAGGTCATCCTGGATTAGGGGGGGTCCTAAGTTCAAGGACTGGTGTTACCATGAGAAGACACAGAGAAGGAAGGAGAGGCAGAGACTGGAATGAAATAACTGGAAGGGAAAGAACACGGAGGATCGGGATTGTCAGCGCCTCCAGGAGCTAGGAGAGAGGCCTGGAACGGGCTCTGCCTCAGAACCTCCAGCAGGAACCAACTCTTTGGACACCTTGATGTTGGGCTTCTGGCCTCCAGGACTGGGAGAAGATGCATTTCTGTTGTTTAAGTCCTCCAGTTTGTGGTATTTGTTATGGCAGCCCTAGCAAATTAATATACCTCCCATTTACCCTGTCAAAATGATCCGGGGGCTAGTCTCTGTTGTGCTGGGCTCCTATTAACTTCGGTAGGGAAGGCATTAGGTTCAGGAGGATGAGGAAGAGACCCAGAGTCCTCAAATGAGACATGGGGTTTTATTAGCAGGAAGCTTACATACACAGTGGTCCAGTGGTGGTGGGCTGGGCAGGAGAACCACAACTGCTTCCAAAAGCATGTGGTTTGTACAGCATTTTCACCTAGCACCCTCCCTGTAACAATCTCCACCTGGCAACCCTCGTTTAACTCAAAACAAAGGGCCTCAATGTCCTGCACGGGCCCTTTACGTTCCATGCGTCAGGCTGGGGGCTCAGAGGTTTCTCGTAGCTAAGGAATGGATAAGGGTTGGCCCCTCCCATTCCTTAGGATCCTTGGAACACTAACAAACATTCAGGTGCATCTGCCATGCAGGGTCATTCTCAGGGTATGCTCAAGTCATCACTGTCAGGTGCGTCTACCATACGGGCTCCCACCCCGCTTCCAGGATGGACATGTCACACAGAGCTGAGCAGGTTACTTAGGACAGACACATCACTTTGCGTGGGCCGATAAGAATTAGTCCTGGAACTCTTTGTGGATTGTTTGGCAAAGAGGATCTTTTTATGCCAGGTCAGCCAACCTGGAGCTGCTGGAGGTCATCTTTGTTACCACACTCAGAGAGCCTATCTGGGAATGAGGCCAATGCTAAGGAAAGCAGAACAAAAAGATGGAGACACATCCCTGACACTATCACTTAGGTACCTAGATCCAGCTGTGCCTGAACCCCGATGGAGTGTTCACTTAAGGGAGCCATAATATCCTGAAGTGAGAGTGGGGGTTTCTATCACTAGTAATGAAAGGATCCTTACTAGTAAGTGTGATTTGGAGACAAGCATTCATGCTCATGGTCATTGAATGATAATCCTCAGAAACTCCTAGTTGACCCTGTTGGATTAATGGTTGCATTTTCTCTGGAGAGATAAAAATGGAAAACCAACAGAAAAACAGGAAGCTAACATAGGAAAAGGAAACAAACATTTGAGTGCTCAGTCCTGTGCTAAGCAGTTGACTTAAAGTCCTCCCACCCTTTCCTTCCTTCCTTCCTTCCTCTTCCCAGCAACAAAACTTACATAAGTTTTGTTGTCCATAAGTTACAGAGGAGTGGCTTCAGACTCAGAGTGCGTTCAGGTCTGCTTGATTCTAAACCCACCTGCCCCATCACCTGGGGAAAGAATAATGTTGGTTCCTTACAGGGGGTCTTTCTCTCGCTTTGCTGAAGGCATTGCCTGGGATTAAACTCCAGCCCCGCCCTTCACCCACTCAGGAGCTTGGCTGCCTTGCACTCTATAGGGTAGATGCTGATTATTGCTCCATCTTGAGGAAGAGGAAACAGAGGTTCTGAGAGTTAAATACCTTTCTCAAGGCCATGCAGTCATGAATGGTCCAGAGAAGAATTCAAACCTGAGCCCTCCATATTCAAAGTGTGGTCCATGGACTAGTAGTCTGGAATCATCTAGAAGCTTGTTAGAAATGCAGAATCTCAGCCCCCTCCCCTCCACCTCCTGAATCCAATTCTGCATTAGAACGAGAGCTCCAGTGACTGGCGTGCACAAAGAAGTTTGAGAAGCCGTGGTGTAGCCCTTGCCATCCGGAGCACCAAAGTCTCCATGCGGTGGGGGACCTACATATGCCGTGTGCCCTGCTGCACTGGGATCCCTCACACCAGCTGGTTCATATTGTCAAAAGGGAAAAAGTCCCGGGTGAGAAGTGGTGAGCCCTTGCGCCGTCTCCATGGGGCTGGGAGAGTGGAGGCTTTGGCTCCTGAGGGGCTGCACTGAAGGCCTGCAGAACAGGAGGTTCATCTGGCTGTGCAGAGTTCACCCCAGCCCATCTCAGGCCTGCATCCTCACCACCTGGGCCCAGCTGGAGGGCCAGCTGCCTTTTCCACAAGGGATTATGCCCAGATAGCTTCCCACAGCAGCTCCGCGGATTCCTTGCTAACCCCCTCTGGGAACAAAGGGCTTGGAGAAGGTCCACAGTCCTTTTTGGAGAGTGGGATCAAAGTAAGAGCCACATCTGTCACAAGAAATGCGGGAACAGCCTCTTGCCAGGAGAGATGGGGAAACTCTTAGTCCCTGGCTGGGTTTGATACTTAATGGCTGGAGTGCTTTTCATGGCTGTTGGGTCAGTGGCTGCTGATGGTCATTGAAGTCAGCTGAACAGAGAGCTTTCCTCCTTGTGCCCATGGCCTCCTGAAGAGGCGTAGGTGCTGTTACTGGCTACAGCTGGAACAGACCGGGGAACCTGGGGTTAGAACACGGGGGAGACTGTCAACAGCTGGGCAGCTGGGGGGCCGCTGACACACCCAGGGCTTTCTGCCTCAGATGCCGGCTTCTGTTCTGAGACACTCTTGGATGTCACAGAGCAGTAGAACAGCTGAGCAAAAGGGGGCACTTCTCTGGATATTGACATTTTTGTGGATGATGGGGAGGGTCAAATAATTTTATTAAACCATTTAAGATTCAATTCTAACAAGCTCCCAGGGGAGGCTATTGCTGCTTTGCAAAGTGAGGGCCAGGGTGGTGCACACATCTAACTGCATGGTCCTGGAAAGCCACTTACTTCTCTCTTTGTTTTCTGTCCTGTCAAAGCGGGTGATAATAGCATCCCCAGGAGGGATGATGCGCAGCCCTCATACATCATCATCAGTGGTGCTCTGTTGCCCGGGCTCATATTGGGATCACCTGGGGGAACTTTAGACACTACTAAGGACTGGCTTCCTCTTCCCCAGACACTCTGATTTAGCTGTTGGAGGTGGGGGAGGCAGGGGCGTGGGGATGCTTGTGGCTTCTCAGGGGGCTTCTATGTGCAGTTGAGAACCACTCTCCTGAAGGCAGCTCTGGCCAAAGAAATGCAAGAATCCCCATCACTTTTGGAGTGTCGGAGACACTTTACGTCGGTGCTCCTCTAAGTATGTTCCATGGACCAGTGCTTCCTGAGAGCTATTTGTTAATGGGTTGGCAGGAGAAGTACGGAGATAGAGTGCTTAGGAATTTCCATAGCATCTCGATATTGCCAGACCTCTGAAGATGTGATCAGGGGCTCATCTCCCTGAATAGGTTGTAGACCAGCTCCAGGGCTGCCAGGCCCCTGTGGGGAGGTGCACAGTCAGGATGAGCTGCAAATGAGTCCTGTGCAGGGGAACACGTGTCATTGTGCCAAGGACTAGATACAGAAAAATCCACTGGTCTTTCATCTCACTACTTCCCTGTTATCTCCTGAAATCTCACAGTCACCTGAAGTAGGGTTTTGTGTTTTTTTTTTTTTTGAGACAGAGTCTCGCTCTGTCGCCCAGGCTAGAGTGCAGTGGCGTGATATCGGCTCACTGCAAGCTCCACCTCCCGGGTTCACGACATTCTCCTGCCTCAGCCTCCCGAGTAGCTGGGACTACAGGCACCCGCCAGCATGCCTGGCTAATTTTTTGTATTTTTAGTAGAGATGGGGTTTCACCATGTTAGCCAGGATGGTCTCGATCTCCTGACCTCATGATCCGCCCACCTTGGCCTCCCAAAGTGCTGAGATTACAAGTGTGAGCCACGATGCCTGGCCGAAGTAGGTATTTTCATGCTTATCTGCAGATGAGGAAACTGAGGCTTGGAAAGGTCAAGCCACCTGCTCAAGGCTAGGTGTCTCTAAACCAAGGTAGGGCAGGGCCTTGTGGGTATGTTACCAGTGTAGTCACGTAGGACTCCACACTCCAGGTGTAATGCCCTATGCTCACCATCTTGAAATTCTTAGTAATTTTATTTTTGAGTGTGTGTTTTGTAAGCAAAGTCCCATGGGACAATGGAGCATGCAGCAGGCTTGGAGCCTCGACTCCTGCCTGGGCCTGCCGCCCTATTTTGCACCTCCCCACTTACCCTGTAAGGGTTTTGCTTCCTCACTCCCTCCTGGCAACTGCTGCCACCCCCATCTTCAGGGGCCCTGGATCAGGATGCCAGCCTGGCAGGCATGCCCCATGCACAGAGCCATGAGGCAGGCCCTGGGCAACTATGAGGGACTGCACCTGCCACACAGGTGAATCCCATGCCCGAGGGGGCACACCATTAAATAGCAAATAAAAATACCATGACAGCTTGAGAGAGAGACTGTAGAGAAAGGAAGAACTCTTTCCCTGCTTTTTTTTTGAACAAAGGGTTTTGCATTTTCATTTCGCATCAAACTCTGCAAGTAATGTAGTTGGCTCTGCATATGGCCAGGATTTTTTTTTTTTTTTTTTTTTTTTTTGAGACAGAGTCTCACTCTTCCCCAGGCTGGAGTGCAGTGGCATGATCTCAGCTCACTGCAACTTCTGCCTCCCCAGTTCAAGCGATTCTCCCGCCTCAGCCTCCCGAGTAGCTGGGATTACAGGCAAGTGCCACCACGCCCAGCTAATTTTTGTACTTTTAGTAAAGATGGGGCCAGGTGAGTCTCAAACTCCTGACCTCTGGTGATCTACCCACCTCAGCCTCCCAAAGTGCTGGGATTACAGGCATGAGCCACTGCGCCTGGCAGGGCCAGAACAGCCCTCATGGGCCATGCTCTGTTTTCTCCCTCTGTACCTGATTGCTCTGTTGTCCAAGGACTGCATGGCCCACTGCTACATGAAAGAGGCCAAATGACAGTTTCTTCTGGTAGGAAAAGTCATGGATTTGAATTGGTTTTTTAAAGTCCCTGAACCTGGCTGTGCTTGGTCAGTGCAGGTGGAACTTGGGCCTCTCCGCGTGCTAGACTCTAGGATCTTCAGGAGGGAATTGCTTCGTTATGCCAGCTAGTCTCACATCAGACTCTGGTTTGGGGGATTAGAGGTTCATTCTTTTGTAAAGAGAACAGTGCTTGAGACCCTGTGGCCCTGAATCAGGCAGACCTGGGTTCAAATCCCAGCTCTGCCACTTCTTTTATTTTTCTTTTATTTTTTATTTTTGAGACGGAGTCTCGCTCTGTCGCCCAGGTTGGAGTGCAGTGGCGCGATCTTGGCTCACTGCAAGCTCCGCCTCCCAGGTTCACGCCATTCTCCTGCCTCAGCCTCCTGAGTAGCTGGGACTACAGGCGCCCACCACCACGCCCGGCTAATTTTTTTGTATTTTTAGTAGAGACGGGGTTTCACTGTGTTAGCCAGGATGGTTTCGATCTCCTGACCTCGTGACCCGCCCGCCTTGGCCTCCCAATGTGCTGGGATTACAGGAGTGAGCCACCGCGCCCAGCCCCAGCTCTGCTACTTCTTAACCATGTAGTATGGGACAGATCTCTTAACTCAAGACTCGGTTCTTAAATGCTGTAAAATGAATCTCCTTCGTGGGGGGTGTAGTGAGACTACGAACAGCTAG
This sequence comes from Homo sapiens, assembly GCF_000001405.40. Taxonomy (NCBI): domain Eukaryota; kingdom Metazoa; phylum Chordata; class Mammalia; order Primates; family Hominidae; genus Homo; species Homo sapiens. Next base: position 93,257,261 of record NC_000015.10, read on the forward strand.
AGAACTGCTGCTTAGGCCTGGATACTTGACTTGTGGTTTGTAGCCCAGCAGCATCAGCATCACTTGAGAATTTATTAGAAGTGCAAATTCTTAGGACTTAGCCCAGATTTTCTGAACCAGAATCATTTAACAAGATTCCCATATGATTTGTGTGCACATTAATGTCTGAAAAGCGCTATTCTCAGGGATCTTCCAGAAGAATGAATTTCAATGTTGGAGTCCATCATATAGATCCATATTTAAAGACTTCTGGAGACAAAGGAATTCTCAGGTGTCCTACCTTAGCTTAAGGTTGGCAAACTCCTATTTATCCTTCAAAACCTTTCTCAGTATTTTCCCCTTGGTTATACCTTGCCTGATTGTTGAGATAGTCAATCATCATTCTCTTCTCCTCACTACTTCATCACATACAAACATCTAATAACTGCATGTATCACATTGCCTGATGAACGCCTTGTACAGGTGAGTCTCATCTCATAGGCTGTGAATTTCTGTGAATAGCAGCCCAGCAGTGAGGATGATGATGATGGCAATAGCTGAGATGAAATACGTCAGCTCACCTACGGGGTGTGACAACAGGACTTGAGAGCAGAGTTGGCTTGTGGTCACCCCGGACCCCCATGTACCCAGATCTGCTTGGCACAATGAGGTCTTCAGAAAAGTTTGTTGAGCTGAATTGATAGACAAATGTCTCCCTCCTCCTTGATTCTCTCACATCCATGTAGGAGAAGTGTAGGGAAGGTGTTGACATGCTTTATTTTTTCTCAGAAGCTCATGTCTGGGTCCCAGCTTAGCTGAATATTTCTTCATTTGCTGAGAGGAACATTCCTCCCCCACTGGCTTTGAAGTATTTCTGAGGGGCGGCTGCCAAGTTTCATCACCTCCCCTGGCAATCTGAGGACCTTCCTCATCATGTTCTCATGTGCAATGCATCCTGTCCACTGTCTTCCCCACTTTTCCTTTCTAGAAAACCAGATGGTAGTCTGGGCTGCTCACCCCATCAAGAAAGCCATGTATGGCCAGGCGTGGTGGCTCACGCCTATAATCCCAGCACTTTGGGAGGCCGAGGTGGGCAGATCAACCTGAGGTCAGGAATTCGAGACCAGCCTGGCCAACATGGTGAAACCCTGTCTCTACTAAAAATACAAAAATTAGCCGGGCATGGTGGCGGGTGCCTGTAATCCCAGCTACTTAGGGGCCTGAGGCAGGAGAATTGCTTGAACCTGGGAGGCGGAGTGGGGAGCTGAGATCACCCCATTGCACTCCAGCCTGGGCAACAAAGTGAGACTCCGTCTCAAAAAAAAAAAAAGATGTCAGACACAGACCCTCCTCCTCTAGAAAACTGGACGCATGCGAAGCAGGGATCTCAGAGTCGAGCTGCATCCGAATCCCCTGGAGAGCTTGTAACACACAGATTCCAAGGGCCTCACTCTGCTCCGGGAGTCTCTAATTCAGTATGTCTGGGGTGGGGCTCCCAGGTGCTGCTGCTGGCCCAGGACCCACTTAGAGAACCACTAGTGTAAACTATCCCAAGACAATGATAAGTGAGTTCGTCTGGCTTAGAGGAGAGGTGTAACTCAGGAGGGAGAAACCGGGCCTGCCTGAGAGGTCAACTGAAGAAGCTCCACGCGGGGAGGGATGCCTCAGTGGAGGCTTCTAACCTGACCAGAAATTCACGGGAGGACAGGGATGAAGGGGTTTTTGGCAGAGAGAACAGCTACGCCGTGGCTCAGAGGCAGAAAACCACGTGGCTGTTGTTTTGCATTTAGATCTAGCTGTCTAAGAGAGGAAACCAAATAAATGATTTAAATGAAGGCTAACTTCTCTTTCGTAGAGAAGTCTAAAAGCAAGCAATTCAGGGCTGCTATAGAAGCATTTTTTTTTTCTCTCTCGCTCTGCTTTTCCATTCTAGGCATATGACTTCTATCCTCAAAGTCACAAGATGGCTGCTGGAGTTCCAGTCAGGATGTCTGTACAGTAAGTGTGATTTGGAGACAAGCATTCATGCTCATGGTTTCACTTTATCCATGGTTTCACTTTCCACAACTTCTAGTTAACCTGCAGTCAACTGCAGTCCAAAAATATTAAATGGAAAATTCCAGAAATAAACAATTCATAAGTTTTAAATGGTGCACTCTTCTGAGTGGCACGATGAAATCTCATGCCATCCCGCTCCATCCCAATGCTGTATACACTGTC